>NC_000006.12:93209525-93360464 GCF_000001405.40 Homo sapiens
TAGCATCTGTCCCACTGGGTGTTTCCAGCATACGAAAACCCTCCCAAGATGACTGTAGTTCTTTAGGAGTGAATCCAAAACAGCCTGAGGTAAAACATTTACTTTTTGTTTTTGGGATTCTTAGCAATTAACTTGCTCCTAAAACTCTTGCTATCTTGGCACTGCTCACATACACCTTCTATTCCGTTATCTTTCCCTGTATTCGTTGCTATGCCCAACACTACTCTTCCTGCAGGCCACTGAACAGTGAGGAACCTGCTTTTTTGTATTCCTCACAGAAACTGGCCTAGTGATATGCTCAAAATAGCTGCTCAGATGGCTGCTGAACGACAACATATCTTCAAAGTACAGAGAATGGAAAGCCACGCTGCATTTCATTTGTACCTTGGGTGAGGGTACTTTAGTTGTGCTATACCTGTCAGTCTCTGTTCCCAGAGAAGCATTGCACATTAGCAAGCATCATTACTTTCAAAGAAAATCCCCAGTGTTCATGACATAGTTCCACCTAAAGAACACAAGTGAAGGTTAGGGAAGGAAAGTGACAGGAGGATGGCTGTTTGAGGGCAAGATTAGTTTGGCCACTGAGCTTTAAAGTCACGCTTGTAATAAAAAGGCCTAGGAAGCAAAGATCCTGGAAGCAGAGATCAGAGTGTGAAGAAAGTGGCAGGAATGAGAAGTTAGGGAAAGCAAAGAGCCAGAACCTGGAGGATCAGCCAGAGCCAGAGGAGACATAAATAGTGACAGAGAGAACCAGTACAGGAAGCTAGTTAAGGTGGGAGGTTCAAAATCAATCATTCCACACTGTATGTATATCAACGTGGCTGTGTACCCTGTATTTATGTACAATTATAATTTGTCAAAAATTAAATTAAAATTTAAACTAAACCAAACAAACACAGAAAAAAACAAGCCAGAGTTGAGGAGCCTCACATGGATCTACAAGAAGTTCGTTCATGACAGGTTTTGAGGTAGCATGTCTTGGGGCTAACGCCAATCAGCCAACCAACAAAAATTAACAACAAGATACCTTTCCTTTCAGCTCTTCTATTCATATAAGCACATATTTATCAATCAGCTAAGATGGCCTCAGTGCTAGGGTGCTGGGGATAGAGACCTATCTAGAAAGACCCAATTATTCCTTTTACAGAGCTTACATTCTAGAGCAGAAGTAATGAGTTGAGTGCATATCACTGGCCACACAGAGATTACACAGATTCTTCAGGGTAGCCAAAGAGAGTTCTTCTAGGGCAGTGACTTATTTCCCCCAGTGTCAGGGGGCCATGCAACCTCCCTTTGTTCAGTCTAGAGAAGATGGCCTAGGAGATTTTCTAATTATGGAATTGGAATCCTCATTCACTGTAGCAGGAGCAAACTAAGGAGCCAGTGGAAGCCAAATGAAGATCCCTGCTTCCTGAGTGCTCACACTGCACAATTTCAGAAAATCACAAACATCTTAGTACAGAAGGATCTGCAACACCTGGCAGGAAGCATCCAATGCACACTGATCTGGATTCAGATGGATGTTCTTATTAGGGTGTCAAAGAAGAATTTTTTCCAGGAATTTTTAAACATGGAGCAGGAACATAAACATGGCAATGCCAAGTAATTTTGCCAAGTATGAAGAGAACAGAGTTTGTCACCCTCTGTGAAAGGTGAACTAGGACTCTGCCTGATTCAGAAGCTCACTTTGTGGACCAAGTGTGTTCCCTAAGTCTCCTTTAAGCTAGTTACTCTGGTTTCAGAGCATTCAGACAATAGCATTGCCCTCAGCACATTACCATGCAGGCAGAGGCTGCTTCTAAAGGCAGGAAGGAAGGAAGAAAGGGAGGGAGGGAGGGAGAGAGGGAGGGAGGGAAGAAGGAAGGAAGGATGGAAGGAAGGAAGGAAGGAAGCGGGGAAAGGGGGAAGGGGGGGAGTGGGGAAGTGGGGAAAGGGGAAAGGGGGAAAGGGGAAAGGGACAAAGGGGGAAGGGGGAAAGGGGGAAGAGGGGAGGGAGGGAGGGGTGGAGGGAAGAGGTGGGCCAGCCTATGAGCCACCAGCATTGACTGGCGTTTCTCACACACTCAGTTTATAATGACAGCCTTGCCTTCTTCCTGTGCATCATTTGGTAGCTTCCTCTCATTGTCACCTGAATACAAATAAGAAAACTGTTCTCAATTTGACAGCAATAAAGAGACAGTTTTTGAAATATAAATAGGGTACAGAAAGGGTAGCTGCCCGTAGTAAACAAAATGTAAAATATTGAGATAGAAAAAAAGTTACTAAACAAAAATTAATGTGTACATTCTCATATCCTGTATATAAACAAGTGAGACTCTTCTTTCTATTTTTTGTAACAATATTTTAGCAAGCTGTTAAAGTTCTCATTGTGAGAAATAATTAGAACATGTTTGAATATGAAATCTGGAATCAGACCTGGATTTGAATCTCAACTCTGTCAAATGATAGCTGTGTGAATATGAGCAAGATATTTAATCTCCTTTTATGTCTCAGATTTACCATCTACAAAATGGAGGAAATAATCTTACTATTCTTAAAGCAACTGATAATCATAATATACAAAAAGCCTCTGATATGTATTAAGCCCCTTCAATAAATGGTAGTTAAGTTGCCATCTTAAGAGCCATTTGAGCTAGAACTAAAGGTAGTGCTACCAGAATTGCATGTATTTTGCCTGATATCAGCAGTTGGCAGATGCAGTGAGCAAAATCCCTCACAGAATAGTGCCTTCAGAAGGCCTGCAGAAGCCGGGCACGGTGGCTCACAACTGCAATCCCAGCACTTTGGGAGGCCGAGGCAGGCGGATCACCTGAGGTCGGTAGTTTGAGACCAGCCTGACCAACATGGAGAAACCTTGTCTCTACTAAAAATACAAAATTAGCCGGGCGTGGTGGCACATGCCTGTAATCCCAGCTACTCGGGAGGCTGAGGCAGAAGAATCGCTTGAACCCGGGAGGCAGAGGTTGCGGTGAGCCGAGATCGCGCCATTGCACTCCAGCCTGGGCAACACGAGTGAAACTCTGTCTCAAAAAAAAAAAAAAAAAGCCTGCAGACCTGCCTTTGCTCTTATGCATCTCCTCATTACATGTCACAGACTACTACCATTCCACAAACAGACAATGGAGGAAATGTTGGCATTTCCAGTTCCATATGTGTGTGTCTTAATAAATAAGACAAAACATTGAAAAAAAAATTCTGCTAATATTAACAGAGACTTGAACCGGCAACTTTACTGCACTAGTGCAGGACAACCATGTGTCGTGAAGAGTCTACAAGGAATTTGAGAAAAGGGCAGGAGGTAGGATGTTGCACCTTCAACTGCTCCATTTGCTTTTAGCAGTTTACAGTGTTTGCAGTTTACCTGTGGCCAATGACATGGATTTTTGACTTATACAATCTACTATTAACAAAATCAAGACTCACAAAGTAGATAGGAGACCTTAAATTTTTTTTTTTTTTTACAAAAGAGTCTGGTTGTTGATAAAACTCTTAACACCAGCACCAGAGAGAACAACAAGAAGGGTGGAGGTGAGACCTCTAATGTGAGTCCCCTGGAAGGCCATCCAGTTTGACACCACAGGTGTTTCCTCTTCTGTGAGTGTGTCATGCATGGAGGTGCACCTCTCTGATCTTCCTTCAAGGAAGAGCTTGCTGTCAGGCTGCAAGAAGCACAGTTAGCTGACAGCCTGCGGGTATTAGTGCTGCATCATTTGCCTCTGCTTCACTCTGGCAGACCCCAGCAAATGACTGATCATGGTGGGAGTCCAAGGGCCTGGCCATTTCTAACCAACGTGGGCCTCCTCTAAGGGCAATCTTTGCTCTGGAGCTCCCTGTTGAGTTGGTGGAGACATTTTGAGATCTGCAACTCAGCCTGAGGCACTTGCTGCCTAATCCTGCTTCTCCTCTCCTCTGTCCCTAGCTCTGCCTTCCCTTTACATCTGTCAGTGCTGCATTGCATTGAGGCCTAAAGATTTTTTTTTTCTTTCCTGCCTTGCTTCCTTCTCCTTTCATTGTTTACAGGTGTTACCATCCAATAAAACTCTTGAACTCCTAACTCCATCCCAGCATCTGCTTCCCACACAGCCCAAACAGCATAGTTAGTCCCTGGAAAATGTTTAAGAGCTGAAACTTGGGTTTCCATAGAAACTAAATTTTTATGGAGTGACTTCCTTTTTCTTTTGTTTGTTTGGCTCTCTACTTTTGTTTCCTTGTAAATTTAATAATCAACATTCCACTTAAAATTTCCCTGCATATTTTCCACTCCTTAATAACACTTGTTGGACTTGTTTTCATATCATTGTTTAGAAAAAAATTATGGCAGATTTAGTATTAAAAGATATTTGTATGCTGCATTTTTATAATTCATCCCTAACTTATCACCAAACTAATTTTTCAAAAGATAAATATTTTGAAAACTGATTTAATCCAATACTTATGGAATTTTCACTCCGTACCAGGCACTGTATACTGTGATACCTGCAGTTAGCATGATAACTGAAGCTTCCTGAATTTGTGGTGCTTATATTCTGAGGGAGCCAGACAGGCAACAAACAAACCAACTGCCTGCCCGGGATACTCCTTGTCAAACTTTCACAAGTCTTTGTCCCTCACTTTGCTCTGGTCTTTGCTCCAATGTCACCTTTCAGAGGTCTTCCGTGGATACTCCATCTCAAATAGCTCTTTCTCTTTATATTGCTGGATGTTTCTTCCTTGAACTTACTGCATTCAAGATGACATTTGTGTATTGCTTCATCTATATCCCCTAATAGAATGTAAGCTTCATGAAGCCAGCGACTTTGAATCTCCAAGTCCTGAAGCAGCGTCTTTCACCTAGAACAGAGCTCTTCCCAAGCATGTTAAGACATAAAAATAATAGCAACTTAGCTAGGCAAATTATTCTTAGAGCAAATATTAATAATATATAAGAAGCCTCTGATACATATTAGCTTCTGTAGCTGCTTCTATCATTGTAGCTACTCAGGAAACGGAGGCAAGATAATTGCTTGAGCCCAGGAGTTTAAGACCAACCTGGGCAACATAACAAGACCCTGTCTAAAAAGAAAAAAAAGAAGAGACAATTTGAGTAAAAGTTGTTCCGCCCAAAATTAATAAATAAATAGATTACTTGAAATATAAAACTTCATTCATCATTGACATGCTAAGCCTATTTTTAAGGGTATATTATATCTTGAGAAACTAGATAGTAGCAGTATGAAGCCATGACAAAGAGAAACTAATTATTTCATCTTCAGATCATTCCTTAAACTGCACACATTTGTATATGTTTCATATGTCCCACTTTATAAATAAATAAATGAACATATATTGTGGATGTGTGTTAAAAGATTTTTTTTTTAGTTTTTAAAAAAATAGATTCAGGGGTTCCATGTGCACATATATTACATGAATATATTGCATAATTGTGAGATTTGGGCTTCTAGTGTACTCAACACTCAAATAGTGAACATTATACCCAATAGGTAATTTTTCAATCATACCCACCCTCCCATACTCTCCCAGTGTTGATTATTTTTGGAGTCCCAGTGTTGATTATTTCCATCATTATGTCCATCTGTACCCACCGTTTAGCTCTCACTTATAAGTGAAAACATGCAGTATTAAATTTTCTGAGTTATTTCACTTAGATTAACGCCCCCCAGCTCCAATCATCTTGCTGTAAAAGACATGACTTCATTCTTTTTCATGGCTGCATGGTATTCCATGGTGTATATATACCACATTTTTTTTCAATCCAGTCATCCACTGATAGGCACTTAGGTTAATCCCATGACTTTGCTATTGCGAACAGTACTGAAATAAACATGCAAGTGCAGATGTCTTTTTTACATGACGACTTCTGTTCATTTGGGAAGGTACACAGTAACGCGATTGCTGAGTCAAACAGTAATTATATTTTTAGTTTTTTGAGAAATCTCCATACTGTTTTCCATAGAGGTTGTACTTATTTACATTTTCAAAAACAGTGAATAAGTGCTTCCCTTCAAGTCCTTCCCAACATCTGTTGTTTTTAGACTTTTTAATGATAGCTATTCTGACTGGTGTAAAATGGTATCTTATTGTGGTCTTAATTTGCATTTCTCTGATGATTGCTGATGTTGAGCATTTTTTTCTATGTGTGTTGATCATTTGTGTATCTTCTTTTGAGAAATGTCTGCTCACATCCTTTGTCCACTTTTTAATGGTATTATTTGTGCTTTTTCTTGTGCAGTTGTTTGAGTTTCTTGTAGACTCTGGATATTATTTCTTTGCCAGATGCACAGTTTGGAAATAGTTTTTTCTCCTTCTGTAGGTTGTTTGTTTACTCTGTTGATTATTTCTTTTTGCTGTGCAGAACCTTTTAGTTTAATTAAGTCCCATTTGTCTATTTTTGTTTTTGTGCGTTTGCTTTTAAGGTCTTATATGCAAATTCTTTGCTGAGGCCAAAGTCCAGTTGAGTTTTCCCTAGGCTTTCCTAGACTTTTAAAATGACTTTTATAGTTTCAGGTCTTACATTTAAATTTTTAATTCATTTTGAGTTAGTTTTTGTATATGGTGAGAGATAGAGGCCCAGCTTCATTTTTCTGCATATGGCTGTCCAATTTTCCCAGCACCATTTATTGAACAGAGTGTCCTTTCCCCATTGTTTATTTTTGTTGACTGGGTCAAAGACCAGGTGGTTGTAGGTGTGTGGCTTTATTTCTGGGCTCTCTATCATGTTCATTAATCTATGTGTCTATTTCTGTATCAGTGTCATGCTGTTTTGCTTACTATACCCTTGTAGTATAATTTAAAGCCAATTAATGTGATGCTTCCAGCTTTCTTCTTTTTTTTGGCTATTTGGGCTCAATTTTGGTTTCCTATGAATTTTAGGATTGTTTTTCTAATTCTGTGAAAAATGACATTGGTAATTTGACAGGAATTGCATTGAATCTGTAGATTGTTTTTGGGCAGTATAAAATTTTAGTGATAATGATTTTCCCAATTCGTGAGCCTGGGATGTTTTTTCCATTCGTTTCTTTCATCAGGGTTATGTAGTTCTCCTTGTAGAGACCTTTATGTGTATTCATAGTTGTTTTTTTTTGTAGCTATTGTAAATGTGACTGTGCTCTTGTCTTGGTTTTCAGCTTGAATGTTATTGGTGTATAGAAATGCTGATTTTAGTACATTGATTTGTCTCCTGCAACTTTACTGAAGTCGTCGATCAATTCTAAAAGTCTTTTGCCGGAGTCTTCAGGATTTTCTAGGTATCATATTATGTCATCAGAAAACAGAGATAATTTAACTTCCTTTTTTCCAATATGGATGCTTTTTATTTATTTCTCTTCTCTAATTGCTCTGGCTAGGACTTACAGTTCTATGTTGAATAGGATTGGTAAGAGTGGGCATCCTTGTCTTGTTGTAGATCTTAGGAGGAATGCTTTCAACTTGTTTTCATTCATTATAATGTTGGCTATGGGTTTGTTATATGAGGATATGTTTCTTCAGTGCCTGGTTTGTTGAGGGTTTTCATCAGGAAGGGATGCTGAATTATATCTAATGCTTATTCTGCATCTATTAAGATAGTCATATGGTTTTTGTTTTTCATTTTGTTTGTGTGGTGAACCATATGTATTGATTTGCATATGTTGAACTATCCTTGCATCCCTGGAATAAAACCCACTCGATCTTGATGGTGATGTATTATCTTTTTGATGTGCTGTTGGATTCGGTTTGCCAGTATTTTGTTGAGGATTTTTGCATTTTGCTCATCAGGGATATTGACCTGTAGTTTTCTTCTTTTGTTTTGTCTTCGACTGATTTTGTGTAAGAGTGATACTGGTTTCATAGAATGAGTTAGGGAGGAATCCCTCTTCCTTGACTTTTTGGAATAGTTTTAGTAAGATTGGTATCAGCTGTTCTTTGTACATCTGGTAAAATTCAGTTGTAAATCCGCCTTGTCCTGGGCTTTTTTGTTGTTGTTCGGAGTTTTTAAATTATTGATTCAATATAATTACTTGGTATTGGTCTTTCCATAATCTATTTCTTCCTGCCTCAAACTTGGGAGGTTGTATGTTTCTAGGAATCTATTCATTTCTTTTAGGTGTTCTAGTTTGTACACATAGAGATGTTAACAGTAGTCATAGTAGTTTTAAATATAGATATTTAAAATCTGATATTTAGAAATCATTATGCTGTGGTAATAATATATATATTTAAATTATCTATGTATGCATCTAAAAATCTCAGAAATATATAATGAAGTTATCATATAGCTTGATATCACTAGATATTTATATTTTAAAATGTCTCTGTTAAAATTCTTGTAACCTATGTTATCATAAATTTTTCTCCTGCTGTAATTACTGTATGTGAAAAATTCAAAGCTTAAATGGAACAGTTTCGGGAAAAAAGTAAATATTCTTTCCCAAATTGCAGGGTTTGTTTTGTGTATGTTATTGAAATCCATCTGCTTGTACTAAAGTTAAAACCAAGTAGATTTCTAGGGACACATTGCTCAGAATAAATAGCCAACCTTTGTTTGTCTGTCTGGTGATACATTGGACTTGTGCTAACGAATGTGTGTTACCAAAAATGCTCAATAATGGCTCATTCTCAGCCATGACCCAACATCAGACATCTTGTAGATGCTATTGAAATACTAGCATTGCCAAATGAAACTGATACCCAGAAACAACAAAAAAGATTAGATTTTGTTCTACTTTATGAGACAAACCAGTCATGAAATCTGTAAAACAATACAGCTCCAGAACTGATGGAATCTGGCCAGGATTTAATAAAAAAAAATATATACATATGGTTAGAAATGTTCCAGCTAAATTATTTGCAAATTCCTGGGTGAAAAGCAATTTCTACAGACGTTGAGATGAGCCAAGTAAGCACTAATACCAAAGAAAAATAAACCAGCCAAGGAATGTTCTTCTTACCCACCAATATTCTTAGGACCCAGTCCAACGTATTGGCTGACATTTTGGCTCACAGATAAGAAGGTTATTTAATGGTGTGAATCGAAGAGTAGATTCTCATTCAAAAGGATAACATTATTAATAATTTTATTGCATGCCATACATCTCAATCATTGCAGGGGACAAAAAGACACAGATGTTTCATTAGATGTTAGGAAGGAATTTATTAAATTAATTGCCATGTACATTTTACATTTAGTAAAATGTCGAATAGCAAGTAAATCTTTTCAAAAGAGTAAAATATAACTCTCAAGGACAAAACCTAACATCAGTACTCACTATCTCCAATTTGTCTCTTCCCATTCTTTTTTGAACCTACTCCAATAAATATTTCACCTCACTATTCTGCAAGAGCTGGTGCTGTCAAGGGTCCATTGATTTATTCCCAATCCTCATCTTATTTGACTCATAAGTGACGTTTGACAGAGTTGATCCCTCCTTCCTATAGAAACACCCCCCTTTTTCCATCTTCTAGAACAACACTCTCTTCTGGCTTTCTTCCTACCCTCAGGAGCTGTCCCTCTTTGCTCTACAGTGGTGGCTCCCCTTCCTCTACCTGCACCCTGTAGTGTCCCTGGATTGTCTAGCCCATGTCTCTGTCTGCACTCATTCCTGATTATCTCATTCAGTTTCCGGGCTTTACTTGTCATCTATGTGCTGATACCTTCCAAACTTAAATTCTAGCCTCAGCCTCTTCCCTAAACTCCAGGTCCACTTATCAAACTATTTCTTGTCACCTTCATATGGATATCTACTAGCCCCTGCAAAGTTGTATTCTCCTAATAGAAATTGATTTCTACCTAGCTCCAAACTGATGCCTCTTCCAGTTCAGTTTTCGCCATCTGTTAATGGAGACTTTCTTTTTTTCCAGTTGTTCAGTCCTGACCTCAAACACTGTTTACTGTTCTGCCTCTTTAACTCACAATCTATTTCCAATCAGTATAAATTATGTTGTCTCTACCTTCAGCATGTATCTATAATCTAATTCTTCTCACCAAATCCACTATTACAACCTACTTCAATCTACTTCATCTCCCTCCTAGATGATACTTGTTTCATTGCCCTGCAGTATAGGATGTAACAAGAGTGAGACCAATGTCAAAAGTCAGGTAAGCAGTACCCAGATAAGTGCATGCTTTGAGGTTGCTGAGAGCAGAAAACACATACACTAGGCTGAAGTGGTGCAGTGTTTACTCACAGCAAGAGAAAAGAGCACGCACAACCCAGCCCCTTGCAATGAGTTGGCTCTGCATGGCTAGTGGATCAATTTCCAGCTGACATGGCAGTGTGGCTGAATGCACCCTACTTCATGCAGCAGAAAAAGGGCCCCACCCCTTGCCTTGCAGGGTGGGGAATACAGAAAGTTGGGGGCATGTGTGAGAGCCACTGGCTAACAAGTTCCAAGGAAGTTTTGCATGTGCACTCTACAGAGGGAACAGAGACATACTGGCTGTGCTGTGAGTTTGTTGCACATAATGCAATTTCTTTGCTTGCCAGCATGTTCTGCACAGAGCACAAGGTTGTTAAAAAACACACTGGAGGTGTCAGACTGTGCTTGGATCCTTTCCTCACAAAATTCTTGACTTGCTCATCTCCTTGATTCTCTTCTCCAAAGAGCAGCTGAGTAGCCCGAAAACACAGTACATCGGACCACACTTCTCTGTTCAACCCTCTAGTGCCTCACTATCTCGCTCAAAATAAAAGCCACAGCTGTTACAATGGTCCGGAAAGTTCTACTTACAGTTCACTCACAGTAGCCAGGTAGGTGGTTTGCCATGATTGCTCAGGCAGGGGCCACGTACCCATCCCTGTGGCTAGTTGCATGGAGTTTTTGAATTGGTAGACTAGCACAATCACAGTATGAACAGTGATCAGTTACCCAAAGGAGGGGCTGTGAGCAATGAGAAAACAAAAACTATTTGTCCACTATCACATATTTTATCAGGTGGGCAGGATGTAATGCCTATATCTATTTGACCTTTGGCAAAACCATATGAATAATAATGACCAACATAATATCAGATTCAGTTAGGCTTTGAGATGCTTGGTTCATGGGTTCTTAGTATGGTATTAAACTGAGTATATACCTCGTAATTTGATTACAGCAACATGGAGAAGCTGGAGGCCATTATCCTGAGTTAACTAATGCAGGAACAGAAAACTGGATGCTGCATATTCTCACTTGCAAGTGGAAGCTAAACATTGAGTACATGTGGACACAAAAGGAGAACAAGAGGCCTCAGGGGCCTTCCTGAGGGTGGAGGGTGGGAGGAGGATAAGGGTTGAAAGACTTCCTATTGGCTACTATGCCCACTACCTAAGTGACAAAATCACACCCCAAAACCGAGAAACATGCAATTTACCTATGTAATAAATAAGCACATGTGCCCCCGAACCTAAAATAAAAGTTGAAAAATAAAAAACTAAACTAAACTATTTAAGTAATTATATACAAGTGGGCCATGCCTGGACCAATAAAATAAGTACTTCAAAAGCCAAAGATCATGAATAATCCAAATCTGTGTACCTAAGTTTCAAATAACAAAATTAAATCTAAAAGTGTAAATAAATAGAGCCTTATTCTTAGATGCCAACTTAAAGCACATGCACTGCAGGGGTGGCTACTTGTCTGAAAGTGAGAGTAGTTTAGCCAAGTGGATAAGGCAATTGAACAGTGGGTAGGCAACTGACAAATATTTAACATGGCAGGATATCACCAAGTGTTCCTCACTAGGGAAATTGGACCATTTGTGGACAAAAGGTGGAGCATGCTAAAACTGGGTTTCTCTTGCTATGGCTTTTGTCTTTCTCTGTCCCAGGCCTAGGTATATTCTGAGCCACCATGCCTACACTCACTGCCATCTCCCTGTGAAAGGCTGCTCAAGCGAAGACTCTACATAATGAGCCACATGTACACCTGTGCCTGTGAACTCAATGTCTTACCTTTTGAGCTTGAATCATACACATTATTTGCAGTTGTAGAGTGAATGTCCATACCATCTTAAATTAAGTCTAAGAATATTCACAAGAATATGGGACAGCAAATTTTTCAGATATGGGTTTCTTCCTATGACAGTAAAAATCATAAAAACACATGCACACATATGACTAGATTTACATTTTGATATATATGATTGACTAGAATGTATCGCACTTCCGAAACTAGTATAGACATTAAGAGGAATCTGCAAAATGTTTAAAATTAGAAGATCCACTCTTCTGATTCTCTATTGTTTAGTATAAATTTGCTCTATGGTAATCTTTACAATCAAGCCTTACAGCATTTTTTCTCATGTGATGATAATTTAATGGGAACATAAAATGGACACTGAACAAGAACAGAACTGTCATTACTCCTGCTACTCTTTGCTACTTGTACCACTGTAGAGAGGTCAAAACTGTTGGTAACCGAGAGACATTTAAATACCTATGAGTCTGCCAAACTCAATCCTAGTATCTGAAATTCACCAGAAATTAAACAATTCTTACTTATGTCTTTTCATTATTTGTGATACCATTGTTTATAATAAGGAATTTCACTAACTGCCTAGAATTAGACAATTTAATGTCAAAGGCCAGATGCAAAAAACTGTGATACTGAACCATAAGAATCAGAGCCCAAACCGGTACTCAGGAGCAAGACTAGAGTACTGGAATGCCTAATCAAGCAGAAGAACATAAAGACTATGGTCACATGAACAAGGCTTTCTTAACTGTCTGACTTCCTAGGAGGGTAGCATAGTTTACCACCCCACCCTGCTGGCTTGGCCAACACAGCTTGTTAAGACCAGATCAGCGGAAGTGTCACACCTGCCTCATGAGATTAGGAAAACAAAAACAAAAAAACACTCTTGCCTTGATGAGAAAGTGTTTTTGTTCCCCATATAAGGAAGACATGGTCTGAATTCAGGCATTGATAGTTGGTACAGATTAATATAAAAGTGGGGAAAAGGGACGTAATATTTTCATATCCTGTATGTGTGGAAAGATAAATTTGAATCTGCCATGAGGAAACTGACCACAGCAAACTGAGCCCATAGCTGTTATGAGAGAATAACCCTCTTATATGTAAGTCTGCCCTTGGATTCCTCCTCTGGCTCTTTGCTGACAATTACTTGCTAAGTATAGCAGTAAGAGCTGTGTGACAGGAGAGTGCCTGAGATATCAGGCTACTATATAACCTTGCCCCAGTCTCATGACTGCTAAAGAGCTCTTGTTGAACTTGTCTGTTTGAAAGGAAAAAAAAGCACTATGGAACCGATATGTATACCCAGAATTCACATCAAAGCTGACACATCAGATACACATTCAAACTACTATGCTGTAGTGTGATGATAATTATTCTGACTGTTGGTATCATTGTGTTCACACTATTACCCAGAAAAATTGCACCTTGAGATTGTTGTGTTGATTCAGATTTGAATCTACTCGTGTCTAGAGCATAAAGCGATACCAAAATAATTTCAAAATCCTTCCTCAGTAGAAGATATAATATCAAACACATCTCTAAAGCAAGATTGAACTAAGGCATAGTTTAGTTACCCTGGAAGAAAGAACTTAAGTTAAACTTGGGGTTTTTTCACTAGCAAGTTTTTGTGGAAGTTATTTAATTTCTCAGTCTGCATTTCTGTTAATGTTAATAACAAGGACATTAGACACAAAACAATAGATTAGGTATCAGTTTCATTCTTCTAACAAGGTGTTGGAAAAGACTGAAGGTTCTCTCTTAGGGTTTTTAGACTTTGTGAATATGATATGTTGATACTATTATTTGTGCAATACAAATGTAAAAATGTCAGTTATTAGACATATTGTTGGAGGAAAAATTGGGGAAATATTTTGAAATCTTCATGTAGAAAAAATTGGAATGTTAGATATATTAGCAAACATAGAGATCATCTAATTTAGTGGTTCTCAAAGTGTAGTCCCTACAAGCAACATAGCATCACTTGGGAACCTGTTAGACATATAAATTCCTCCACCCAGCCTCAAACCCAGTGAAGCAGAAGCTCTGGGTGTGAAGTCTAGCAGTCTGTGCTTTAACAAGCCCTTCTGGTGATTGTGATGCCCACTAGAATTTGAAATCTACTGACCAAATTCAAGGTCTTCACTTGACAATGAGGAAACTAGCCTCAGAGGTCACCACATTCCTGATTTGGGTACTGAGATAAGATTAAAAACAAAGTCTCTTTTGTTAGTGTTATTTATTCATTTTGCCCCTAAGCAATTCCTTAAATTATCCACAAAAGTCTTGAATTAAGTAATCAGTTTCTTTAAAGACTAGCAGTGGTTTTTTCATGTGTTTTTTGGCTGCGTAAATGTCTTCTTTTGAGAAGTGTCTGTTCATATCCTTCGCCCACTTTTTGATGGGGTTGTTTGTTTTTTTCTTGTAAATTTGTTTGAGTTCATTGTAGATTCTGGATATTAGCCCTTTGTCAGATGAGTAGATTGCAACAATTTTCTCCCATTTTGTAGGTAGCCTGTTCACTCTGATGGTAGTTTCTTTTGCTGTGCAGGAGCTCTTTAGTTTAGTTAGATCCCATTTGTCAATTTTGGCTTTTGTTGCCATTGCTTTTGGTGTTTTAGACATGAAGTCCTTGCCCATGCCTATGCCCTGAATGGTATTGCCTAGGTTTTCTTCTAGGGTTTTTATGGTTTTAGGTCTAACATTTAAGTCTTTAATCCATCTTGAATTAATTTTTGTATAAAGTGTAAGGAAGGGATCCAGTTTCAGCTTTCTACATATGGCTAGCCAGTTTTCCCAGCACCATTTATTAAATAGGGAATCCTTTCCCCATTTCTTGTTTTTGTCAGGTTTGTCAAAGATCAGATAGTTGTAGATATGTGGCATTATTTCTGAGGGCTCTGTTCTGTTCCATTGGTCTATATCTCTGTTTTGGTAGCAGCACCATGCTGTTTTGGTTACTGTAGCCTTGTAGTATAATTTGAAGTCGGGTAGCGTGATGCCTCCAGCTTTGTTCTTTTGGCTTAAGATTGACTTGGCAACGCAGGCTCTTTTTTGGTTCCATATGAACTTTAAAGTAGTTTTTTCCAATTCTGTGAAGAAAGTCATTGGTAGCTTGATGGGGATGGCATTGAATCTATAAATTGCCTTGGGCAGTATGGCCATTTTCACGATATTGATTCTTCCTACCCATCACTGGCCATCAGAGAAACGCAAATCAAAACCACAATGAGATACCATCTCACACCACTTAGAATGGCGATCATTAAAATGTCAGGAAACAACAGGTGCTGAAGAGGATGTGGAGAAACAGGAACACTTTTACACTGTTGGTGGGACTGTAAACTAGTTCAACAATTGTGGAAGTCAGTGTGGCGATTCCTCAGGGATCTAGAACTAGAAATAACATTTGACCCAGCCATCCCATTACTGGGTATATACACAAAGGATTATAAACCATGCTGCTATAAAGACACATGCACACGTATGTTTATTGTGGCACTATTCACAATAGCAAAGACTTGGAACCAACCCAAATGTCCAACAATGATAGACTGGATTAAGAACATATGGCACATATACACCATGGAATACTATGCAGCCATAAAAAATGATGAGTTCATGTCCTTTGTAGGGACATGGATGAAGCTGGAAACCATTATTCTCAGCAAACTATTGCAAGGACAAGAAACCAAACACTGCATGTTCTCACTCATAGGTGGGAATTGAACAATGAGAACACATGGACACAAGAAGGGGAACATTACACACTGGCGCCTGTCGTGGGGTGGAGGGAGGGGGGAGGGATAGCATTAGGAGATATACCTAATGTAAATGACGAGTTAATGGGTGCAGCACACCAACATGGCACATGTATACATATGTAACAAACCTGCACGTTGTGCACATGTACCCCAGAACTTAAAGTCTAATAATAATAAAATTAAAAAAAAAAAGACTAGCAGTGAGAACTTAGAGGTGTGACAAGCCTGCAGGGTGGAGATAGAGAGGTGGAGCCACAGCTTCAGAACCACGTGTTTCTGACTGCGGGCTTGAATCATTATCAGATAACCTTACAGACCCAGGTATTACAGTGCAACTTTAGGACACTAATAAAATAAATTTTAGGTGTATGTAATTCAGGACTGCAAAATTACTATAGTTTTTCTATTCTCCAACATTTTTTTTTTAAGTTGCATGGAGTTTTCCTCATATTTTATGCCATTTATACTCTTTTTTATAAACAGCATAAAGTGTCATGGCTCCCAGCACCTGAAAACTAGATTTAGGAGATTTTTATAGCACATGTTGAGAAGATAGTTTTTTTAAATTGATTATTCACTATTCCAAATTTTTAAGTATTGTCTATTAAATTTTACTGATGTATTTCTTTCAATATCTTAAAACTATTTTTTTTAAATTGGAGAACTGCATTATACTAATAACATCCCTTTATTTTTTTTTTTGATTGGAAGCTATTTTAAAAAATTAAACTTGTCACTAGAAAAACCTGAAATAAAAATCATATTGAATACAAGTATTTCTTCATCTACACATTTTGTATTTTTAGCTCTTTAATGGATAATGTAAGACATTCACATTTTATGGTTCTGGGAAGCTTTATGAGAAGATTCTAGAAATATATACTTGTATTTCTCTCCTGCTCAGATGCGAGAACATTTAGAACCAGGAAGGCAGAAATAAGCAAACAATTTAGTTAATGTGGTATGCAGGTAAGAGTGTGGTGCTTCAGAGTCAAATATAGCCACTAAGGATGTGTGACCTTGTACTCAACTGCTCTAGAACTTGGCTTTCTCATCTGTGGACTGCGAATATCTGCCTCACAGAGATATCATGATATATAAAAAGAAGGTATATATTGAGTCTAGAAGTTAAACTCCTCTACAGATGGCTATGATGTAATAATGTCATCAGTAAATATCCATCTAAGTTTAGCTATTACCTTTATATATTTCTTTATTTTCTTATCAAAAGACTTTATAACTCTTGTGTTTCTAATGTGTGGATTTGTTCATGTATGTTTGTATTTCCTGCACCCTTAACTATCCTAGCATCCTCTCTGGATTGGAGATAGTGGGATAGTTCTTATCCCTGTAATTCAGTTTATGTTCATCAATAGTTCTGATATGGGTTTCTTTTCTTTTCTTTCTTTCTCTCCACTATGCTTGGCTAATTTTTTAAATTTTTTCGTAGATACAGGGTCTTGCTATGTTGGCCAGGCTAGTCTTGAACTTCTGGCCTCAAAAGATTCTCCCACCTCAGCCTCCCAAAGTGCTGAGATTACAGGCATGAGCCACTATGATCGGCCCTAATACAGCTTTTCAATCTGTACCAAAAAGTAGTGTACTGTTTTTAAAGGGTAACTCCTCTTAGAATTTATAGACAGTTAGCTTATTAGATATTTCATCTAAAAATATGCAATTTCTGTCTGCAATTATGAAATGACAATAATTTACAAAAGGAACTGCTGAGTTTTAGGCATTGCCTTAACACATCAGAGCACATATCACCTTGTCAATATAGTTACTAGAAAACTCTCAAGGCTGCTTGGGTTAATTATTTAAAGAATGTCCTTCAAAGGAAGCAGTTATGGGTTATGCCATTTGAGTTTGATGTGCTAAAGAGCCTGGCCCCTAATACTAGTGTGATTTTCAGATAATAAGAGGGTAAAGAAGGGATATGAAGTATATACTGCAAATGGGCAATAAATATTCTCCTTCTATTTAATGCATACGCTCAGATTATTTTTAAGAAAGAAAGCTTCACTAATTCATATCCAGATAGTTAACTCCAATAGAGTATTCAGTCTGAAAAATGTTTATGGGTCTATTCTAAAAATATTTTGGATTTTGTTAGTTGTCATCCCAAATCATATAAAAAGTAAGACTGCATGTGGTGACACCTAGTATTTGGTTAACAATAAAATAAAATCAATATGCATTCATGTTCCTAAATATCTGGATAACAGATCTCATTGGCCAATAAAGAGTGGCCAGTACAAGTTTTAAAACTTTTCTTCAAGATATTTAAAAGTTACATACCCAGCCATGGTCTGGTGTTAGTTTCATTACAATATATTAAATATGGATTCTGGAAATGATCTACCTTGGTTTGAATCCTGGATGCCAGTTTATTCTTTGTGTAATCTGGGCAAATCATTTACCTTCTCTAATTCTATTACCACATTTAGAAATTGAGTTCACAATAATCTTCACCTTATTTAGTTTTAGAGTACATAATTGAAATAATTCACATACCAGATTTAGCATATTCCTGGCAAAATGTTGTGATTCTGTTTATGTTTATCAATAACAGTATTATGACTAACACAGATTAACTCATTATTTTTACTATTGCACGTTTAAATATATTTGAAAATAATGTTTAGTTATTACTAGTTAAACGAAGGAAATCAGATAAGATCTAGAGCACCTGATACATTCAATAAATTAAGCCTACAATATTGATTATATATATCCAAGGAATAATTCTACCGTTTAAACATCTAACATTATATATGTAAAGCATCTAACATTAAGATGTTAGAATGTTATAAAAAACCAATTTCAGTACTATGAAGTCTCTGGAAATAACTATTTTTTGTTTCACTTTTAGCCCATGTAAAATGGACCTAAACGTATTTATTTACCTCACTACTGTCCATAAAAATTGAACTTTATAACTTTTTAAAATATTTTGTCTTGTAAAGATGTTATAAAGTGCTATTACTGTATGTTAGAAAATCACCATTTATTTATAAGTCTTGCTGAAGCTCTATAGTCAAAAATACTTTCCATGAAGAAGCAAAATCATGAGTACTATTAAGGAGTTAAATTGGTGCGCTCATATAGAATCACTTAGAATTCTGAAATAATACCATTTGGAAAAGTAAAAAAAGTCTTAGCCTTTAGTATTCTACATAGTATAAAGTGACCCACATGAATCTTTTACTAAGCCTAAGGATATATTCAGGTTACCCCAAAACAATTTTATGTCAATGATAAACATGTCTCTGTTGATGCAGAGGGATGATCTCAACTTCCCATTTCTTGACTAAGGAAGATTAACATAATCAAGATGAAGAGTCTTTCTCAAACACTTCCTCATTGTAGACATGTCTACAGTTTTATAAAAAATATGAGACAGAGGCAACTGTTTCATTTTTCCTGAGGTTAGGAGGAGTGGGAGTAGAAAAGAGATTTGCAAGCAATTATCATTTATAAAATTTTCTTTAAGTGAGAAAAGAGCTGGAAGAGTGTTATTTAGTTCTGTCCTAAAGCCTGTAAACCATAGTCCAAATCAATGGCTTCCAAACTTTGCTACACAATAAAATCACCTGAGTTTTAAAAAATCCTAATGTGCAGGTTGTACCACAGACCAATTGTAACACAATGCTCATTGTGGTAGCGAGACATGCATATTTTTTGAAGGCCCTTATTTGATTCTAACGTGCATCAAATTTGAGACTCATCAGTATAAGTGTTAGGTTGCAGATTTGAGTCCTAGACTCAGCTCTTTCTCTTCTTGTTTATAATATCAATTCACAAACTAAAGATTTTTATACTAAAGAAAACGTTTAGGTGAAATCATTTGTGGTTGGCTGCTTTCAATGATATCTAGCTTTTGAAGAAGTAATAACAAAGGAAAGTTGGAAATAATAATAATAATTAAAAGGATACTAGTATTTGGCAAGATTTCAAACTTTGTAAACAACGTGATCAGGGCTAATACAGAGGGTGTGGGGTGCTAGTATTTATAGGGCCGGCAAGATAATTAGAGTGAGTAGTCTTAGATTGCTCCTAAGAAAAGTAGGTTCTACATTGATAGTCATATAAAATATTTAACTTATAGTTTATTAAGCAAAGGAAACATTGTTTTGAAACCTAAATATGAAAGGTATTCTACTTAGAATTCTTTGAAGTAAAATTATTTCTTGTTTTAACTTCCAAGGTCTCTCAAGGTTTTTGACAAACGATTTCCAATCTGCTGATGGTGTGAGAAAGTGCTAGTTCTCATAGGAACTTTGACCAACCGTGCTTCTATTTATTTGTACAGACCGATAAGAAATTTGCAAGTGATTCTTCATAGTGCCATCAAAATTTTTTGAGGTAAAGATGGAAATTGTACCTCTCTCAAGATGATCTTAGGTTATTTAATACTAAGTTATTTGCTATGTCATTATTTTTGTTTATTTAAAGGCCAACTTTTCTTGCTTTTTTTCTTTAAGATCCCTGTAAGTAAATTAGTGGGGACTTTATCTGAGAAGTAGGTAAGACACTAAAAGTTTTAAAAAACAATTATTTCAAGCAAGCCTCACCTACTGCCCTCCAAGTGAAAGAAATAAATTAGAAAATACCCAGCAGTAAAGTCTTGAAAAATCAGTGAAAATACTTCTGAATATGGTGAAACTCATAATTGGAATTGGAATTTTACAATATAGAAGTCATGAAAACACTTAGTTTCAAATTCCTCAATAAAACAGAGAAGTCCAGCTAACAGAAGTTGAAGGACAACTTTTAAGCTTTCACAATATTTCAAATGTGGATTTTGCCTGGTACATTAACTCGGCTAGGATTTTAAGTTCAATGACTGACTGTTATCTATTTAATAACTAGAGGTTTACAGGCTCATATTTTAAAACACTCACATAAGGATGGGGGTATATATACTTTCTTGACTTGCTTTTTGTTACTTAAACTTTTTGCTTAGTTATTCAAATAGTTATCTTTTATATGCTGAACTATGCATGAAGGCAAGATACTATTTCCTACCAGTGACACAATATGGAATGCATATGAAGATAAAGTAGAGGAAGATTGTGCTTTTCTATAATTTTCAAGATTCTCTCTATAACTATTTAGAAAATAGGAAAGAAATGGGCTTTGTAAACCTGTGCAGTTTTAGACAGGCAGATTCTTGGTATACTTTCCTAAAAACTAGTTTCTCATGGGTCATGATAGTGAAAGGAAAAGGCATTTGGGCAAAAGAATAAATTAAGTTGTAAAAATGGTAACTAGGTATCTCTCTTTCTTTGGCTTATATATCTTCATTATTAAATTACACCGAGTTTGAGACACAAACTATTGTCTCATTCACACTATCTGAGGTATTGAATTGCATTATGATTACAAATGCCAGGGCATCATATATGTTCACAAACACCCCATTTAATGAACTTTTTCCTGTAGATGTGTGTTGTGGGGGGTGTATTACATCAACTCTTAGCCCATTTTTGATTATTCTACTAATTTTACCCCTGCTTCAACAACTAAATGGCTTCTTATCTCTTTTTTCTTTTTTTTTTTACTTTTTTTTCTACTTAGATTTAGTATATTTGTAATGTTAGCTAAGTTTTAGAATAACTTACTGTTAATTCTGAGTGATGCTAATTTTTAAAATTAAATCTTAAGAAATTTGACATTCAAATTATATTCTGGGTTTGGAGGCCATTGGTGGAGACAGAAGGCTTTGTTTCTTAGATGTGTTGATAATAAAGGACAGTGGCTGCATCATACCCTGGCTGCTCCTTACTAATAAGGCATTTTGGGGTAGGTATAGACTGAAAAAAATTTCAGCTTCCTTGGACAGAAGAGACTAGCTGGGGTTTCTGTGTACAGTGTGAAGATATAGTCACTACTACACTTGTCTTTGTTGTGAGGATTTCTGTCCTTGGAAACAGATCCTGGTAGACCAAGGAAAAGGCGTACTCTATACCTCTGTGTGTCCTGTCAATCCCTTCGTTTGGTCAAGGAAAGTAAACATTTTGTTTTATTAGTAGAGAGTATGCTATATCTATTTTTTTTTTCTTCTTAAAGCAGCAGTTTGAAGAGGTACTTTAGCCCAATTAGGCTGATGATGATACAGATTCAAAATGTTTGAGAGGTAGCCTCAAAGTCACATTTATTGAGTGGTCAAGTTTTCACTTAAGCAAAATGTGTCTTACTCTAATAAATGTGCAGTCGTTGTAGGGGATTTAAGAAATCCATAGTTCACATCTGTGCACCAAGATAGTACATAAGCAGGCTTTCTTCCCTTTTCCTAGAATCTATGCTTTGCTCTGGAAATCTGCATATTCAGGTACATAGCCTTCTTTTTTCAAAAGTTCTCTAAAAGCTGTTTTCTGGGTTCCCTACATTTTCTCTCATTTATTCCTCCATAATCATAGGACTCTGAGGCCTAGTAAAATGCTTGACATTTAAGTTGCTCACAGTGATTCTATTTGAATGCTTATAATGAAGCATATCTTTAGATAGGCTGCTGCCCTCTTAACTTACAAATACTGAGGAATCTTTAGTGACAGAGCTTAATGATTAAAATAATTATAGTCAGGCACTCTTCCAAGGCTTTACATATGTTAATTAGTTTATTTCTATCAGCACCTTATGAAATGGATACTATTTACCATTCTCATTTTACAAACGAGAAAACGAGGCAAAAATGTGATTAACTAGTCTAAGGTCACACCACCAGTAATTGGTGAACTGGGATTTGAAAGTAGAAACAAAAGAGTTTCACACCTTCTTTACAGACAAACATTACTAACCTTTCCCTCTAGACAAGCTCAAGTATTTGTGAATGTCTAGCTTGCTCAAACTGTCACCATCTGACTGAGAATAGAAGAGACTTCAGTGTCATATCTTGGAATCCCATGAAGGTAACAATTTTACACGTCTACTTTTGAAGTTAAAACAAGGACTAACACATCTACAATTTTAGACATCTAATTTTGAAATTAAAACAAGGACTACCCTCGCTTTTGCCAACAGATTTTCTAAAGTTAAATTGAGAAAAGATTCCGATAACTTGATAAATGAAGAGAAGATGTTTAAGAACCAGAATTGCAAGCTCTTTAGGAACCAGCAAAATGCAAATCAAGACACAATATGCCATATATTGTCAGAAATTATATGGATCTACACATAATAGTAGTTACAACTTTATTGTCAAAGATGGAGGAACTACCAAGCAAGTCAAAGAGTTTAATAACCCTGAAATGTATTTCTTTAATGTCAATAGTATTTATATGCTTATTTATTCAGTTGCAATAGTTTTGAAATGGTTAGTTTCA
This sequence comes from Homo sapiens, assembly GCF_000001405.40. Classification (NCBI taxonomy): domain Eukaryota; kingdom Metazoa; phylum Chordata; class Mammalia; order Primates; family Hominidae; genus Homo; species Homo sapiens. Next base: position 93,232,543 of record NC_000006.12, read on the forward strand.
AAGCATTGATATTTATGCATATGCATACATTTTCCTATTTGTGTGAAATACATTAAAATTAAAAAATCTTTTTTCTTTTAAATGCAGTGAGCCACCTGAAAATCCAGAGTAACAAGAAAAGTCTCAAAAATATCAGTCACCTTACATGATTCAAATCATCTGAGACCTGGAGAGAAGGGTCAGAACAGACCTGCCATGGTTGAATCTGATGTGATTATTTACATCCAAGTTAGAAATCTCTAAAATTATATGGAGTCTAAAAACAATATTGACCAAACCTCAGGCACGTTGCTTCAACTCTAGTTGTTCTGCTCTAGTCCTGTGGCTGATGTTTCAAGATGAGCAAACCACTGATAATAACTTACCTAACACATCTGTGCAGTGCTAAACCAAACAAGCATAATTAGATATGCATATAAACAAGATTAAAATAGAGAAATCAAAATTTACCATACCCTGGAGCACTAGTAAATAAGCAAACATCACTTATTCATGCAGAAAATGCAGTTGTTAAATCCAGGCAGCTTACACAAGTACTGAGTAACACCCACCTCCTGTAACCTAGAGGCCACCACACAGAATTCATCATGGCCAAGAAACTCCAGGTAGGCTGTAAGGGTAGATAAATGGTATGAAGTTCGAAGGATAGAGAACATGACTCTAGTGTTTATGGGATTAAGAGACCTTGCAGATTACGTGTAAGATCTCTAGAAGCTATAGAAGCCTCAAAGAACAATCTTGAACACGGAGCCTGTGCTTGAGTGGAAGCCATTGAAGGAAAAGCAAAACAGTGGCTAGAGGGAAATTCTTGGACTACATAACATCCAAGTCATGAAGGTTGAGAAGCCACAAGTAAGTTAGAAAATACCATCCTAGATACCAAGAAAATATACCAAAATCATTACAAATAAGAAGCATCAATATCTTTTCTTACATACATATACTGGGATTTATCAGGCTAAACTGAAACATATAAGAAGGCATTTTGCGAAGATATATTTTCTCCAAAGAGATAAAATCATCTTAATGTTATTTTTAATTTGCTTTATATTATTTTAAGTGCTGCTGTCTAATTTCATGCAGTTTTCTTAAATTCACTGGAGAAAAATAAGTCAAGACAGGTATCTCCAATCTGATGGATGAAGAAACTGAGTTTTATAGTTAAATTGTTTCCTGCAATGTCAAGGAATCAGTAAATGGTTGAGCCAGGACTAACACATCCACTGTTGAAGTCCTCTAATTTTGAAACCGTTTAACTTTCTTTTTCTGTCTTGATTGTATTTAGGCTAATTGTGGAGATTCTTCTTTCATATCAAATTTATATGAATTTATGCATGATGATAGTTATAACTAATAGTCAAAATTGAGATAGTATTAAGTAAGTGAAAGATATTACATTTCAGTTGCACTTATGTATTATATGTTTTAGCCTCAAAGGCAGCTACATAATTGTTTATTCAGTCAAAATCATTGATTATGTATCTACCATGTGTAAAGCAGTATTTATTCAGCCTATACACAGTGCTAAGTAAGCATATAAAACTGAAGATTCCTTATAATAACTCCATGGCCATAGCTCATGCAGAAAGACTCTCTGCAATAATATAATGGAAAGTTAACTCTTTATATAAAACAAGCAAGTAGGAAACATGAAGATCTATTTACTCCTAAATGGTACTAAAATTATGTCAATAAATGCAATTACTAGGAACAGATTTTGGTTCTTATCATTAGCACATTGAATGTATAAAGACAGTAGATGCACACCTCTTTGGCCGTCTTTCCAAATACATGGCAGATAGGAGTGTCTGCTGCTGCTTTGGGAGCAGAGAATCAGGGTAGACTGAGAATTATAGCAGCACATGTTGAGTAGGAATTGTGTGCTTTTCCTCAAATTTAACCGTTTTTTTGTTCAGTAGAATGTTCCAAATATAAGAATTGTTTTAGTGGTAATTACATATTCTTGCATTAGGGGATAGGAATAGAAACCATCCTAGCCGTTAATTCTGCGTTGGGCACTGTGTTGAGCTCAGTATATACTAAAAAGAGTAAAGTACATTTGCTTATCCCCTTCAGATAACTCGTAATTACAAATAAATATAAAAGAACTATGCTGCAGGAGACACCAGTAGTTCAGTCCAGCAGAAGCATGGGTAAGAGAGGAGAAGGGTTGAAGATCATGCATGGGCAGGGTCCCAATTGCTGATGCTATATTACATAATTGAGTGTGACTTTCTGATTTGTGAGTGGCCACCAAAGTCTTTTAAACTAGGCAATAGCGTGATCAGATATGTGTTAGAGAATTTACTCAGGAAGTCATAAGTAAAAAGGATTAGATAGAGGTAGAGAAACAGATTCGGAGGATGTGACATTAATCTAGGTGAGAGATGATGAAAACCTAATTTAGGTCAGTGGCTGTGGAATGGTGATAGATTCAAGGGATACTGAAGAGCCAAAATCAGCTGGATGTGGGGAACAATTGTTTATGGCCAGATTAATGAAGTTTGACCCTCTGTGTACTGATTTGAGAGATGTGATTAATGATGATTAAGAAACAAAACAAAACACAACACAACAAAAACTGAATAAAGGATAAAGAAGAGGTTTGGAACAAAAACATAATTTAAATTCTAAAATTCATTTGTGAGTTAGTTGTTCAGAATTCACAGCAATGAATTTATAAATGTTTGCTAAAGAGATAGAAATGCAGACAAAAATACTACCCAAAGCAATAAGAGCTAACATGTATTTCCTCACTCAATATTGTTATAAATACTTTCTGAGTATCAATTAACAAATTTAACAACTCTTAAAGTAAGTAGTATTTTTGCCCATTTTACAGACAAGAGAAAGGATATGGAGAAATAAAATCATTTTCCCTGTGTTACAAATGTAGTAATAAGAATAAATCCTACACCGTCTGGCTTCAAACCTTCTTCAATCACCCCACCACCCGATGCTACCTTTTTCATGATATAAATGCTAAGTAGACTTACAGGCTGGCCAACAACATTCTGTTTTATTATATTTTTACTTAACTATAGAATTACTGATATCTTGAGTTTGGGAGATAGAATGAGGGCTTTTTTTTCATTATGGAAGAAAAAAATATTTGTCTTCATCTTGTCTAAATTTTAAAGTGGTCAAAATCACATTTCACATACCTTTGCATATTGCTGTTTCTTCAAAAACTTTCTTACCATGTGTCTCCCTCATCAAATGAGATATTGGTAAATAATCCTTCATTGTTTCTCTCATCAAGTCCAATTTCCTCCACTTGATATCAAATTATTTGATCTGGCCTTACTATTTGCAGCCATTGATGCCGCCTATTCTTTTTCAAGATCTGGAAGGTGCTGCTATGTGGTACACCCTGGTCTTGTTTACTAATCAGCTTATTCCACCCTCCTTTCTCTCACAGGTTCACACCTCTGCTCCTCCTCTCAGCCCCTCAGGGCGTTCCTGCTTCCCCAGTCCATCACAGAAGCATCCATCCATGCTCTGAAATTAGTTTTCTCCCTCAACACCCGTTTTCCTACCACCTTTCCTGCACTTTGTGCATCCTTCAGAGCACCTGATTCTTGCTACCTTTTAAGAAGAAAACAATTTGAATTAATTTACACTTCAAGGATTCTAAAATATTTATAGAGTGTCTACTGAGTGCCAGAAACTGCTAAGTCCCTAAGGACATAAAACAAAGATTTCCATTTGGCTTCTGCCCTCCAAGAGCACTTGATCTAGTTGGAGAGACACACACAAATAATCTGACAGAACAAGGTAAGATAATAGCAGCAGCAGCAGTGTAAGCAAAGCGCCAAAGAGAATTAATTCTGGGTTCCTAGCGTTAGTGAAGACTTGCAGGAAATAACTTTTGAGTTATATCTTGGAGAGGGGAATTTCTCTCATTTAGAAATGTGGGAGGGAGGCCTGGCACGGTGGCTCATGCCTATAATCCCTGCATTTTGGGAGGCAGAGGCAGGTGGATCACCTGAGGTCAGGAGTTCGAGAGCAGCCTGGCCAACATGGTGAAACCTTGTCTCTACTAAAAATACAAAAATTAGCTGGGCGTGGTGGCACACGCCTGTAATCCCAGCTACTCAGGAGGCTGAGGCGAGAGAATTGCTTGAGCGCAGGAGGCGGAGGTTGCAGTGAGCTGAGATCGCACCACTGTACTCCAGCCTGGGCGACAGAGTGAGATTCTTTCTAAGGAAACAAACAAACAAACAAACAAACAAACAAAAAACTGAAAGAAGGAAAAAGAAATGTGGGGGGGAATGTGAAGCTGGAGAGCAAAAGAATGGGAACATGGAAGTATAGCCTGTTTCCAATTTAGAATAGTTTCACTTATGATTTGTGGAGTTGACCATGGTGTGAAATTCAGTAGAGGCCATACTGTGCATTCAGTAGAGGCCATACTGTGCATTCAGTAGAGGCCATAACCTCATAGTTTAATCAAAACATTAGATTGTCAATCTAATTATAGAAGCCCACTACTTCTTATTTACCTAAATTCTAAGGAGCTCCTCCACTTAGGATGAGACTACGTCCTGATAACCCCATATTAAGTGAAGAAACTAAGTTGGGGACCCTCTGCTGTGTTGCTGGCATCAAATACACTTTCCACTTAGAATATTTTCAACTTACAATAGGTTTATGGGGAGGTAACCCCTTCATAAGTCAAGGAGCGTATAATCTATTGATCTGATCCAGAAACAGTCAGTAGTTAACTTAATCTGTATTTCAGACACCATTACCTTAACCTTCATCTCCACCATATCCTTTTTTTCTGGCCAAAATTGCTGATAGCTTTGTGGTGCCTCTTCTATTAAACTCAATTTCTCCTACTTGACTTTCAAGATTTGATGTAATTCATCTCTGCCTTTTCTATACAAATTTCTATACAATATTACTTAATCCTCTTCAAAATATGAAAGATTGTATTTAATGTTTGCGGGTCTTGTTTTGTAAGCAGAGTAGAAGATATTTAATTGCACCTTGTTCTGCTGGCTCCACAACTAACCTAACCGAACAGGGACTCCTTTATTATGAGAGAAGCCATCACAATAATAGCAGTAACTCAAGCATTAACCCACATTCATTTCTCAGGTAAAACTAAGCATGACTGTTTTCAGTGTCAGGTTCCTGTAGTTCCTGTTAAGTTGGGTCCTGGTGAACTCATATGGAGCTCAGTGTGTAACTGGTGAGGATCTAAGTGAAAACAAAGAATTACAATGCAGATCTCCAGCCCAGCAGATCTCTGAAAACACTCTTGCAAATGTTAGGAATGAAGAAAGGCATGGGTGTCTGTCATCTGGGAGGAATACATTTTAGTCTCATATTCTGTCTGTTTTTTAATGTAAATAGTGCATATTTCTAGCAAATTGACAGAAGAATATCAAGTTAAACTCAGAAATTTCTGTTGTAATTTGCTGTGGAGTCTGTGCTATCAGTGTAATAAGCATCTGCAAATTCATGTTACATTTTAAAGGTGTTCTTAAATTGTTTGCTTCATTTCTATGAAGTTTTAAAAATCCTATGATTTATTTCAACATGTTCTGCATATGCAGCTTAACATTTTCTATTCGTTTTCCTATTGTTTGTTGTCTAGTCATTCATTTTATTTAGTTTCAGTTATGTGAAATGGTGAGACTAAAACCATGCTACTTAAAACAAATTTGCTCATTTTTTTCCTCTGAGCATCTTCAAGTAAGATCTATGATTAACTGCACATTGAAAAACATATTGTACCTTCTTTAGTTATATATAAAATCTACAAATATACCTAATTTGAATTTCAAGAGGGAGATAAAAATAATCTTCAGCAGTAGATAACTAGGACATTTAAACTAATGAAATACAAGGTGCAGGTTATATCCGATGGAGCTTTATTTGCCATTAATGGAGGTTTAGAATAGACAACACCTCACTTGTTATTGCTGCCAAATTATCAAATTTAGAAATTCCTACTACTGTTACCTATCTACAAAATAGTTGGCTAGTGCATCACTACTTACTAAACTTTGTGCAATAGGTCCAATTAAATTGGATCAATTAATTACATTTATTTTAACCTCAAGGTCAATCAGAAGAGGACTTTTATTGTTTTAATTACAGATTTAATTACATCCAATTATTGAACTTGAAAAAAAATCCACCCCCTTACAGCACTTAACTCTAATGAAGTTCGCAGAAGCATTCCTGTTGAAATATTTTATTCTCCTGCCCACATTCTTTAAGCTATGCTGAGATGCACTAGACAGAAGAGTAAGAACAGCTGGTAGGAGTGTGTGGGATACTGCAGGGACACCAACACAAGGCCAAGAGGATGCTGCTCCACAGCTTGAAAATTTGCCAGTCACCATGTTATCTTTATCATTTTACTATCTGGAGTTACAGTTTTTGCATTTAGGATTTAGATAATCTCTTTGATTTGTGTGTTTCTTTCAGTAGCTTTCTTCAAAATTGACATTGACTTTTCATTGCAGCTAACAATATACAACGAAGGGTAAAAGTAGGAGATAAGTGCTTCAATGAAAACATTGTTACTGATGATTACCGTAAATGTTTAAATATAATTTTTATTTAGTTATGGAACTTGTGTATTTTAATAATGGCTTATGATAGTGTATTTTTGTACCAGTTATAAATCTAATATTTTGGAGATAATTTTATAATTTCCGGGATCTCCCTCAGTGTTCCAGGATATATAATTATCACTGTATAAAATTAAGAAGAATGTTGGTTTATGTCTTGCATCTTTGAGCAGCATTTTGTTAATATGTATATCAGAAATGGGCAGGGACAGGCCAGGATATCAAGATTATCTTTGAATTTCAGTTTAGTGTAGCATGAGCCTCATCACTACAAGTATGATAGCTAGCAATAGCGCCTCATCTGACATTTGCCTATTATTCTCATTTTTGGGGGGAATTTAAGAGGGTGATGTTTTAAAATAGGGAGTGCTTAGTATTCATCATTTCAGGTGCAAGTTAGAATGTCACTGAGTCACTTTCTATGTCAAACAACTCAATCATTCAACCAGATTTATCACTTTTTCCTTTTGTTTTGGATTTAACGTTTGCATGATCTAGTAACCTGAATGAAAAAAAAATCTAAGTTCATTTATTTTATCAAATGTTTAAAATATATGTGAACGTCCAACGACAAAATATTTCCTCTCTCATGCAAATATTGTTGTTAGTATCATGCAGTAGTTTCAGGAAGGAGCAAGAAAGATTATAACTGTTTGGCAGTATGGCTCTTTGAAGACATAATCTTGTTATTCTGTAATAATTAGAGTGGAATTAGGTTAGTGTGCAAGAGAACAAAAGGAAGTAATGGATATTCATTTTTCTTCGTATTCTGATTGGTCCACTCAACTATTTCAATAAAACTTTATCTCTTCTTGTAATATTGTATAGGAAAACAAAGAACATGTAAGGGATATAAAGGAATCCACCAATGATTGGAGACAGGATTTTCTTTACATTGTCTAATAGACTTGTTTATTATTTTAAGCTGGTAAAAAGAGACTTATGATTCATGTTGAAGAAAGAGTTATTTGTGCTTGATACATTGAAGACACTGTTCAAAAGCAGTTTGTCCTTATAAAAGGATGACCCCTGTAGTATTTCTTAGGCAAGGAGGGACAAATTCAACCAACGAAAAGCACATCTCGCCCCGAGTTCCCCATGATTTCTCCACATATAGCAAAAAAATACACATCAGTAATTTATTTGAACATGCACATCAGTGAGTAGCATAGTTCTAGGCTACTCAAGAAACAAAAGGGAGAATATCAGCATTACCTAAATAAAAAAGAGAGGTGAATCACACCATTTTAATTGTCTTAAAAACACGGATAAGAAGAGCAATTAAAATATAGTCCTAAACAGTACTAGCTAATGTAGATTACATAAGTATACAATATGATTCAACTAATAGTGCTCTGACAAGCATAAACCACCAGTTCTAGTAAACAAGGACCAGATCAATTGCTGAGAAAATGTTAGATTCAAATGTAGAACAAGTTACTTTTATTTCAGTACTGAATGCAAAACACAGGTCAAGTGTGAGGACAGTGTTCTAAAAAAGGTGGCTCTATTAAAGCAAGGAGGCCATTTCCTTTTGCATTTTTATAATTTTGGAATTCTATTTTTGACGTTCACTTTCTCTACTTTTCCTCCCCTGAGCACTAATTTATTTAAAAAAAAAGATTTCAAGGTGCAAGTTGTACATTCTTATCGTTATACCATCTCATCTCTTTCTGGAAGAGAGTATTACAATCAGCATTACAATGTTAATTCTTTTTCTCTTAATATTTGTTTCACATACATGTATTTCGAAATCATAATGTTGATTAGGAAAAGAAACTTACAAACGAGATAGTGATGTAATCATACACTTCCTATTGTGCTGTGTGTCTTTCCCATCCCTTCTCCCCTTTCCCTGTAAAGAGCTGTAAAAAATTTAAGGCAGATGAGGTATATTGCTGAAGGAAAAATTTATTTTTGAAAAAAACTCAAAAAAACTTTTATTCTGCCCTTCTACTCAAGAAAGACTACTCAACTATAAATCTAGTGCTAGAAAAAAGCAGGAAAGACACCGTTTGCATGTACCATACTATGTCTTCTATTTCTAGAATGGCTTTTGTTAATTTAATTTTAATAGAAAAAATAAGCACCTTAAGCTATGAACAAGAAAAGAACTTCATTATTAGTGAGTCTAGAATCCAAAAGGAATTAAGAACACTCACTCAAACTCTTTCACTCATTCTCACAAAGGCCAATGCTACTGATTAGAATTGTAAAGTGCTGGACTTAGTATAAACACTTGTACACACTGCAGACACTGAAAAATAACCCTCAAGCACATTGTGTTATAGTTCCAAAAATATATTTACAGTCTATTACAAAGATTACAAATGGAAGTGTCTAGGTGACTGTATTATGCTAATTAAAATTATTTTTACAGATTACTTTTCCTTAGGGACAAAAAACATTTTAGTGAAATTAAAATGATTTTTCTAGTCAATCAAAAAATAAATTAAAATATCAAATAACACTGTACAGTGATTTAAAACCAAAAAAAAAGGGTGGGGAGGGGTTTGGGAAGCAATCCATTTGAGTTTTTCTATAGCCGTCTTTGGTCCTAAATGTGGGAAAACACATTATGTAGCACTGAAAATACCTGTTCTTTTGTGATGCTCTGCAAGTAAAATAGAAAAATATAGTGCATTTTCAATGTATTCAGAGCCCACTACAGAGAAATGTGTGTACAAAACAAGACAGTATAAATAAAATTTACAAGTTTTACAAAGGAACATTTACAGATTTTGTTTCTGTTATTTGTTTGTTTGTTTGTGGATGCCCACATTATCAAACAAGACCAATTATGACCGATCCCTGGGATCTTTCTCTATTAAAATCATTATAAACAGCCCAATTCTCTTTGGAAGTACAACAGTTCAATTCTGGGGTAGTTCATGATTTTCATAAGTTTTGAAAGCATTAATCACAATATGTATACATTCCTGCAATATCTATAAAGACACATTTAATTATTGCTTATGAAATTCTAACACAGTAATCAAATAATATGGTTTAATAAATAAAGCTTTAAAAACAAGCCAGATCCTTCACCTCTTCCTTCTAGGGTAAAGAGTCCTTTCATTTAACAAGTTTCTTGCATCAGTGTTCACAAACAAAAGACTTTTTGTTTTGTTTTGTTTTGAACTGCAATGGTGATATTCTGTGCAGCAAATTTGTGTTTAAATGGTGAAAATTGTGAACTGCCCCTTTATCATGCTTCAGAGTTATAATATAAAACAATTATTTCCTTTCATGTTTGGACTGCATTCAACAGAAGAGGATATAAAATATATGTCAACTATTTATCCTAAATTTCCTAATGTCACGAGAATGAAAAAATCTTGATGTGCTCAGATTAATTTTTAGATAACACTGGATAGTTCTGCTTTCAGAGACTTGCCTTCACCAACATTCTTCAGATGAAGTGCCTCATTTGTTTATATACTCATAAACCTAAACTTCGAGTTTATTAAATTCTTTCTAGTAAAATCACTCTATAAACAATCTGTTAAAAGTGCCTTATAGTATGTATGGATCATTATTGCTTTTTTCATTGAAAAGATAGTGTGTTGTCTGATCTTTACAAAAAAATTCTTTTTAAAAAATATCAGAGCTCTTGGCAACTTGCATTTTCTTGACTACCTGCCAATTAGCAAACAATATCAAAACAGCACTGATTAAACAGAATAAAATGGCACAAAAAGGATACCAATGTTCTAACAGAGATGTATCTTCAATCATGCTATTTCTTTTGAAATTTGAGATTCTTTCAAAGGTACCCAGTGTAGTAATGTTACAGATTTAACACTAAAAAGGTCCAAAGCTATAAACAGCTTTCTAAAACAAAGTCCTTATGAAGAATAAACACAAATGATTTTAAAAAGGAATAGTCTGAAATCACATATTTAAGGAAAATATTTCATTAATTTTAACAATAAGATCATGATTTTATTTGACAAATATATTCTTTCTTAAATTCTTTATGTACATTTTAAAAAGTCTATAAGACAAAAAGGAGGTTAGAGAGCTCAAGGTGTTTGGATGTTTTTCAGGTAGTACTTTGTTTATTGTCACTGCTATTTTCCTGGCCACCGATGGTGGATCCTAAATTCCCTTTTTATATATTCTGGTGGCACTTAGGAGTTCAAGTCTATAGGTGCTTCTTAAATCTTCTCTTCACTGTTGGAAGGACCCAGGACATCACTTGTCTTCTAGCAGCATTCTATGCATATACTGAAGGCCAGTACTGTTCTCTTGCAGTCTGTAATCTCCCTTAAAAGGGAGAAATGCATATCACACTTGAATGCCAGTTCCATGTAAATGTAGCATTTGTGCTCTCATAGTCTGAATGCTGCTCATGATTTTCTTTTGATGACCAACCAGTGTGATCCCTAAACTCATCACATCCCTGAAAAAGACAAATGCACTTTTTATTAGGTACCTTACAAAGAATAAATGTGGCACTAAACTGTCATCAACTGTTTAATTAAATACGTTATCTTAGCCAAATAGATCTTATCTTAGTGTTCTTGGGTATTATGATCACACCCCTGCAGCAGATCAGAATTGTAAAACCTACATCAACATTCTCCTTTGTAAAAACCTAACTGCTCAGGTTCTCAATTTACTCTCAATTCACTTTTAAAGTGATTTGAAATTTTACATAAGAAATTATTAAAGTCTTAAAACTATTATTAACTTAAGGAAAGGTTAGGAAATGTTATTTGAAATGTTGTATTCTTGAACCTAATAGGGATTTAGAAATTTCTAACTGGAAAAAGCTTGATAAAGGATAATGAAAACAGTTTGTGGGATCTAGTAGAAAAATTGGAACTCATCAATGACCATGTAAGTTTTTATACTGGATTCAATTAACGTGTGGTAATTCTGAGCATATTATTGGTTATCTACTTATTTCAGTGAGTTCAATCATTTCATTATATGTTATAAAAACTATCTTTTAAAATGTACATCTAAATTTAATAGCTTAAATTTGAATCAAGAATTGGATCTGTGTTTTGCCTTTCTTAATAGCCAGATACAATGAGCTGATGTCTTTACAAGCAGCTAAAATATTGCAAAACTATAGCACCGTAGTTTTTCATGGCAGTGACTGAGAAACATGGGTTTTCAGGGGTACAGATTGCTTTGGGGACCCAAGTGTAAAAATGCCCACATAGTGACTGGAAGAAAACTGAACAAAATAGCATGCACACACTTAAACCCATGTACGTGACATTTCCTGGCATATACCAGAAAATAATATTTGATTGCTGGTCTTCATCTCATTGGAAAAACGATGACAGTACAATATAGGATCCCACAAATGGAACCTTGATTATTGTTTTCCATTTTCAAGCACATTGACTGAGAGGAACTATGTCACCCATGAAAGTCATGCTGCAGCCAAGTCAACTGAGGTTCAGAGATTTTTAGATTGTCCAGGAACCCATAATTAGTGATGGAGCCAGACAGGAAAAGTGAGTTCTTTTAACTTCAAGTTCATAGAAATTTCAAAAGTTGCTTTATCAGGTCATTTTTTTCAGGTTAAAAAAAAAAGAATTGATCATACATCTTCCAAAAAGTAAGTTGAACTCTTACTTTTAAGCTATGGTTAACTGAATTAAGCTTCTTTTGATCTCTTCAGAAATAATCATATTGGACGTTCTAATGCATTTCAGCATTGAGTATAAAGTTTTGAAATTATTTAAGTTCAACACAAACATGGTGAAAGAAATCCTCCTTTGCAATGGAGAAAGTTTCCCCAGTGAATAGGAATCTAAATAATACAGAAGTTAACTACAGAGGAAGCCTCACTGGATGGTGTTTAGAACACCAGCTATGGAGCCAAATTAGTTATTACTTACTAGTTAACTTGGCTTAGGGGAAATATTTAAATTTTCTGAACTTTAGCCTTGTTGGCAACAACATAGGTATGAAACTATAGACTTCATACAATTATTGTTGTGAAGGTTAAAAAGGTAATATGTTTAAAGGTCTATTTAGTATAATGCCTGGTACGCAGTAAGAACTTGTTAAAGAAGTATTTTTTTTATCTTGATTTTGGGATTCAAATTCTTTTAATATAAAGAAGATAACCTAATGTATAAAGTGTAGATTGTACCTAATAAATCCTTAAATACAATTTTAAGAGTTTAAGCTTACTCAATAGTCATCCTGGCTACTGATTCAAGGGAATTGTAGCCAGCTGCCGTGAAATTATCTTTATATCTTTCCATCTTAATAGCTTGTAGCCATTCTCCAACTGAACAAAAGGTAGTGAAATCAGGAGTGTTTTGATCCAGAAGAGGGCTTATTGGCCTAGATAAAAATGAAACAGAAAAGCGAACATTATCCTGAAATACCAAAGAAAGAATGTTTTGGCCCATATAAAATTAAGGTATAAAGAACAAAATTAGATGTTTTAATTGGTGTACATAATAAAAAATACATCGATATGCTAATAAAAACCTAAAGCATCCAGGAGGCCAGTAACTACAAACTCCTAAATTTACATTTTATTTAGATATGATGACCACCCAGTTTTGTCTTCCATATGTTTTTAAAAGTACAGCCAACAATATTTGGAATCAGTAAATAATTGTTCATTTGCTTTTCCAAAAGTAATTGGGAGTAAATGATGCACATATGGCTGTGTTCTAACCTGTTCAGGCCACGAGGGTGCTGTAGAGATATTGTGCATCTCCTTTGCTGATGGCATTCTTGTGAATGCCTGGGGAGTTAGAACACCTCCACAGGTGCCTAACTTACTACCAATGTAAACCAGAGCATCAATCTTACCTGGCGTCTGAGGCTGAATAACTATTAACATGCATTACAATCAAGCAAGCCAAATGCAAAGGATGAATGGACTCTTTTTAATGAGTACACCTCTTTAATCATGTATTGAATTTTTTTTTCTTTTCTTTTTTTTTTGGAGACGGAGTCTCGCTCTGTCGCCCAGGCTGGAGTGCAGTGGCGTGATCTCAGCTCACTGCCACCTCTGCCTACCGGGTTCAAGCAATTCTCCTGCCTCAGCCTCCCAAGTAGCTGAGATTACAGGCGCCCGCCACCACGCCCAGCTAATTTTTGTATTTTTAGTAGAGATGGGGTTTCACTGTGTTGGCCAGGCTGGTCTCGAACTCCTGACCTCGAGATCCACCTACCTCGGCCTCCCAAAGTGCTGGGATTACAAGCGTGAGCCACCGCACCTAGCCTGAATTTCTCTTATAAACTTTAACATCATTGAATCATTTATTAAATGACTTGAAGCAAAACAGTTAAATAGATACTATGCATATAACAAAAAACAAGGACAACAGTAATAAAAACCCATGTAATAATAATAATATTGGTCTGAAAATATGAACTGCTGCTATCTTATCACAAAAATCCAGTTTATAAAGTTTCTTTTATAAAAGCAGCTAGTGATACTTGTAAGTTTAAAAAATGCAATAACTAATAGATTCTTTTCAAACACTAATTAAGGTAAGCCTAACTGAAAAGAAAAAAATAAACTTCAGTAAATGCAATACATTTAATATGAGTTTATACGTCAACACAAAAGTCAATTTGCCATTGTGGTGGGGTGGAGGAGATAAATGGTTTATGTTACTATTGTAATTTCTCCCAGATTCCATTCCCTTAGGCATTTCTTACCTACTACAAGTTCCCAGGGGAGTTTTCAGACTATTTGGGTTTCGAATCATTTTGTCTAGAATTCCAACTATCTGTTCAAATTTTGGCCTTTCAGCACGCTCCTTTTGCCAACAATCCAACATTAGCTGGTGAAGGCCAGCTGGGCAGTCCATGGGTGCTGGTAAACGATAACCTTCTTCTATTGCTTTTATAACCTAATAGCCAAAAGGACATTACAAATATTACTGATTTAGGTTCAATTATAATAAACCAAATTTCCTGGTAGGCAAAATGATTTATCCAGAGAAGAATGAGGCACAATGCTTCACAAAAGACTTACTTTTTTCCCAAAATTTCCATGAATATTAAGCATGTTATTAAGGAGTGCGTGAAGTGCAGGATATGATGACATTTCCTAGTTAATTCAGCAATAGGGAACAGCAATTAAGTTCATCCAGGGTACAATAGATGGAAATAGTTTTAACATCATCCCAGAGGCTTTCAAAAGGGAACATGTTATGGAACTATCTTACTTGTATATCTTTGTGAGTATCCATATGTGCCCATACATTTAATAATTCTGCAAGTTGTAAAAGGAATTTGAGTTACCCAGAATGAGCCAAAATGATTCACTTTTAAACAGGGTAGCAAAATAATATGAATGTACTATGACAGAAAATATTACCAAGCACATGAGTCTTTTAAATAATATGAAGCTTATTGTTAGTGTTATAAGACAGTAGTTGTAAGACAGGAGCGAGGTTGTACTGGTTTATGAGTGGCGACTGCATCCCTTCCCTACTCCAAGTTCCCTTACCTTACACTGGCAGATTGAAATCAGCGTGGGGGAAGGGTTACAGCAGGAAATAGGGAAAGGGTACAAATCAGGGCTTTCCCAGAGAGCTGGTTTTTATTATTATTTTTTTATCAGCATACCACTGCCTATCTAATAGGCATATCTAATATTATATCTAATAGCCTAATATATCTAATAGCATACCACTGCCTAATAGGCATATCTAATATTATATCCAATAGCCTAAAAAACTGTTTATATGAAGCTTTGAATGTTAGTGAAAAATAGGCCCCTATAAACATTTGTATGTAGCAATCAGAAAAATTATCATTCAGACTTGGGTTTTTTATTTATATGAAAGGCAAAAATAGATCTTAAAAACCTGAAAATGTTCCAAATCTGAGCAGCAAAGGGAAGAGAACAAGAAGACAAACAGCAGAAATAAGAAGGGATCGGAGAACACTAAAACAGCATTCGAGGGGGAAGAACAAATCCTTTGACACTGACTGATATAATGGTAGAAATGTAACAAAAAATGACCCTCTGAGGAAAAAAAAAATCTTTGAATTTTCAAAGAAAATAAGGCCAAAAGTAGGCAAACAAAAAGCTGGCTTTAAGAAATGTTGATGGTCTTAATATTTTTAGGGAAACACATCCTTAAGATGCATGCTGACATTCAAAAATAGCACCTTAAAATATAAAAGGTTGTAGGATAGGATGTAATGAGTACAGTACTTGGCATCAACAATATTTGAAAAAAAATTCTTTTGTATAAGGGAAAAAAGTATACTTTTTTCTTTAAGAAAAATCTCTAACTCTAAAGTTTAAAAAGTAAATAGATGGACTTAGTTATAGTAATTTTTGAAAATTTATATAAGTATAAAATTTAAGACCAAACTCTCTCCTAATCACTAGGTTGTATTTCTATCAGTTTATTAAACTTTTCATCTGAATTGTCCATAGGTACCTCCCCTGTATATATTTAAAATTGAATTTATCACCTCTCTTCCCAATCCTTTACTATTTCAACTAACGGCACATCCAGTCCCAGTCAGAAAGCTGAAAACTGTCCCAGGTTCTTTCATTCTCCCTCTCTCTCTTTTTAAAAACAAACAAACAAACAAACAAACAACAACAACAAAAAACGGAGTCTTGCTCTGTAACTAGGCTCTGTCATCCAGGAGTGCAGTGGCACGATCACAGCTCACTGCAGCCTTGAACTCCAGGGCCTCACATCCTGATCCTCCTGCCTCACATCCTCTTATATACACAATTAGTCACCACTTTCTGATGATTTTCTACTTCCCAAATACAATATATGCTCAAATACTAGAAAAAGTATTTTTCCATATCTGTATCTACATTTATATATCTTTCTCTATATATACATATCCCTGAAGTGATGGAGTGATTATCTCATAGTTAAGTCTTTACAAAGTTTCACACTGAGGTGTTTCTTTAAGTATTTTATTTTGAACAACAATTATGGAGAAAACACCTTGGCCTTAAGTGACCTTAATCAGTGTTGGTACTAAATGCAATGGAGGTCATATGACAGAACTTAAAATTTTCCTTTTATGATCCCATAATTACAAATGTTGCATATCACTGTAAACATTCCTCTAAAATATCCCTTTTAAAAGCTATACATCAAACAAATATATACAAATGGTAACTCTGCAAGGATCACAAATATATAAGTACAGGAGAAATTATATTTTTTAAAAAACATTTTAAGTGCTAAGAATTTCAGTGGTTTTGCAAAACATTCCAGTAATAGCACTGTACTTGGATTCAAAAATGTTATGTTAAAAAATGTGAATAAAAGTAAAAGTAATTTACTTTTAGAAAGTTGGGTTAAATGATTTAAATAGCAGATCAAGCTGGGAATAAATAAACTAATAACTTCTGAAATTTTATATATTCAAAATGACCACACAATAAGCAATTGGGGGTATTTTTTTCATTGGAAAATGAGCGGCTTTTTGTCTTTGAGGCTGCTTCTATTTAAACACATACAGTCTATTTCTGATTTGACATGACTGCATTCTAATGCTCATAACATTAATTCAGTCCTCATTATTTCCCACCACCTCCTAACCTATTTCCCTGCTTATAGCTTATCTTCAGGTGTCCTGAAAGGAACAATGTAAGTCGAGTGATCTTTCCTTTTTTCTTTCCCTCCAAATAATGTTTTAAAATGTAAATCTAAATCTTATCATGCCCTCTTGACATAATACTTTTCAATAGCACTTCAAGCTTTCAGAATAACACTTAAAATTATTGATTCTTTAGCTTTCAACACAATATATTCTTAAGTTTTTGTAGCACTGAACATAGGACCATTAAATGATTATTAGAAAAATAAGTTAATGAACCTCTGTAGTTGTCCTACTGCATTACAGAAATTTAATGATTCCTTTTGTTATTGTAGAGAAACAACACTGATCTCACTTCAAAGTGAAACTCCTAGCTATATTCAAAGATATAATGTTTTATACATTTTTAAAGGAATAACAACAAGATATAACATTTAAAATAAGAGATATTGGGACTTTAATAATCTCATTAATAGTCACATCCCTATGGACATGAACACTTAAGGTACTTGCTGGGAACTCTTCGACCTTATAGAGCAGTTTGGCATAATCCAAGATACACCCTTTGAAACAAAACCAGCCAATAGGAGCTAATTGAGGCAAAAACTGAACTTTGAGGTTCTGCAGTTTTCATTTATTAGCCTAGCAGTAAAACAATTTTCTTGTTAAATATGCAACTAATAATCATTGTTAATATTTATTAAGTGCTTATTATATGATTGGCATGGTTTTAAACTTGAATTATCTTATTTGATTCTTACAAAAACCTTATTAGGTTTAAGTATCATTATTATACTGATTCTAGAGATAAAGAATGTGTGGCGCACAGGAAAAAAAAGAGAGGGCCAGTCAGTATCAGGTAGCTGTTAGTAGAAAAGACAGAATTTGACGTAGGCCACAGACCAGAGCCTGTGCTGTTAAGAATGGCATTATTTTTCCAATGAAAAAATAGGTACATTCTTCATATAGTTAGATATTCTTGGAAAAACAATGCACAGAGGTAAGATAGCTGGCCCTCCACTTCTTAGAGGATTATGTAACTGGTTCACTGAATTCATCTGAAACATATTCTTGTGAAATTACTAGAAACTCCTTGTATTTGCCTTAGTATTCTAATAAAATTCATTCATAACCAATTCTATATCTAAATAGTTCCCAGAGGAACCAGAAGTGATTTGGGTAAATGTAATTTTAAAAAAGATCTCTGGGACACAACAGGGACCACTTCTTTGGCAAATGCTGTAAAGCAATACTTAGAAATAAAAACAAAAGTTACTTACTGAGAAGTGTTTCCATATTATTACAGTATGACCATTGTAATTAAGAGAAAAAGGAACACAGTAAGACCCCATTAACGAGCCTGTAATAACTCAAAATGGCATATGACATGATTGGCTTCTGTCCTCTGCTCAATACTCATTTTCTATTTCATTAACCTCACAATAACATGACCCACATTTTATGCAATTAAATATGTTGGACTTCACTTATGAGATTTTGGCAAAGTTTTACATAAAACAACATCATAATTTTGCTTCTATATTAACATGAAAAAATATAAAGTCATAAATCAGTGATGACTTTTAGAAGGAAAATGAGGTCTCACAATTTAGCTGAGAATACATTTACTTATGAGTATATTATATTTTCCAAGCCCTTAAATGACTTTTCTTATATGGCTTTAAGGGATTATCTTTATGTCTCATATCTTTAAAAAAGCTTAAATTTTTTAACATCCTAATATCTACCTACTAGGAAAATTAACAATTTACTGGCCTAGTTTTATATAAGAAAAAAATACTTTCTTACGTTATTTTTTTAAAAATACTTTTTTCTTATGTTAACTATTAGGATACTAATTTACTATATAGATTTTATTCTTTTTATGCTAGTAGTATTTTTTCTTATATTACAATACATTAAAATACTAATGTAAGAAAAATACTGCTAGAAGAAAAAAAATCTATATAGTAAAAAACTTCAAAATTTCATAATTTGAGGGTAAAAAGTTGATTTGGATGAATCAAGATATAAAATTCAGTTAAAAGATGGCTGCTGTGAAAACCAAAAGGATATTTTCAATTTCCACAATATTTCTTATATTTGACTACATTTACATACATGAAGATTTTTCTTTGAAAAGTCATTAATGGAAAGAGCTAAATGTTTGCAGATTTTTTAGAAGAACGAAAGTTGGAAATTTATTTGGAAAGCTCAACCTCTTGGTTTTAATTGCAACTAACTGAATCCGACTGTTTCCATTGTAGTTAAAACTTAAGAAAATAATAGACACATAAAAATACAAATGAGTGCCCATTCAAGGGTTAACTAATGGATAACCTATTTGAGTATGAGTCTGGTCATGTATAGGTATATTAGTTTTCCCTAGGTTTTTCTTGTTCATTGCCTTGTCCAGAGTTACACAAACTGTTCAGATAGTCCAGAACTTTCTCACTCATTAGCTTCTACACCACCCTTTTGTGTCTCTTCAGGTTACAAAAACCTCACTTTATCCAGCATTCAGCCTGGAACTGTGTGGACTTGCTTAGAAATGTAACCATCACTGTACATCTTGTTTTCTTGTGTCTTGTAAAAAATCTTTTAAAATCTGAGGCATTTAAAATTTGAGGGCTTTCTAAAATCCCTGACAAATTCCTAGCAACTAAATTTTAATAATGTAGAGTTAATTGGTTCACTTGATAAATCCATCTAGGCTAATTAAAAGACAATGAATACATCTGAAAATCTGAGGAAGGCAACCTTCCCAGAAAAAAAAATAATATATTCACACATACACAGCAGTTTCCACATGTATCAGGGGTTCACAGGGGTTCATAGATCTAAGTCTCTCCATGAACTCCTACCACAGATTCCTAGAAAAAAGCTTTTATCTAGAAAATTTTATCCCAGAATGGAAATCATTATCCTAAATTATCTGATTTTTCTCCATTTGCATATTGAAAATTAAACATATAATTGTTCAAATAGCACTCTACTGACATAATTATAAAATAATGAATATTATCTAATAAGAAGAATATGAATATCAATTTCACTGTACAAACTGACCTATCTAGGTAATCTCTCACTGCTAAACAAACCTGTGACCAAATTTATTAATTATTTTAGACCTCCTAAATAAAAAAATTAAAGAATGTGCCAAATATTTTAGGTTAAAACTAAACTGCACAATAGACATAATTATGTCATTTGACTAATAAAATATTAATCCTTGGTATAGTAAGGCTATATTCATAATGTTCATTTTTAAGAAAAACAAAAAACAATACTTAACACATTTTAAAATTTAAAATTGGAGAAATTAATTTTTTTCTTCTTAACCATTTCCATTATTTGTTTTTGGAAGTTAAGTGAACTCTGAATTTGTCAGTCCTGTCAGTCCCTTTATGTTTGAATCCAATACAGAAGGAAGGTGTCAAAAGAAATGAAACTCCATGGAGTGTCTAGGGAATGTAAATATTTCTCTTTCTCTGCCCTAAGGATTTGTTTGTCCAAATTTTGACAGTCCATGAAATCTTTGACACTGAGACCTGTCAAATATTAACAACTTTGCCTCTGCCAAACAGACTCATCATTTAGACTTTTATCTTTGAAAAACAAAAACAAAACAAAAAGCAAATGAAAAAGTTTTATGTCATCATCCAATTCAAAATATCAATAGATATAACTGATTTATAACCTTCCTCTTTTCAGACTGTGGACTTCTCAGTTAATGAAAAAATTTGTAGGGAAAGTATCAAAAATAACCTTATCAACAACATATAAAACAGTCTAAATGTTAGTTGTCTAAAAATCACTACTGTAAGTTTTAAGACCCAATGTAGATTTTCCTTAAACACTACTTATTTTTTTGACTCCACACTCCAAGAATTTGCATTAGTATCATTTCCAGACTCCTCTGAAAACTCCTTCATCAATTTGTCCAAACCTACATCTTCATTTCTAATTACCACAAGTGTACTACATCTCTGTTATAGAAAAGTGAGTCCATTTGATCGGTCTTCATACACCTCTAAACCTTAACTTCTCAACTTTCCAGTGTGCTTCCTTAGAGAATTGGCTCATCAGCTCTGAACCAAGGTATCCACCAGATTTTTAGTACAATCCTGGATATCTTCCTAGATTTCATACTGGCTCTACATTTATCTAATTTTCACTCATATTTCAATAGGTTGAACTATAAGTGCTCTTGGCCTACAAAATGGCCATTTTAACAAACTCAACCTAATAAAAGCAACTTTTTTTTTGCACTTTTGCTATATTGTTTTATAAGTGGTCTCTTGGTGTGAGATGTATACACGCTCACATGGACTACCATCAGTTTCTTTTCTCAACGGAAAACAGTATGTTTTATGTTTTAGCATGTCCTCATGGCAACAGGGTATGTACATTTAATAAATATACTTTTAAAAGGAATTTCCAAAGATATTCTTATTGTGATTACATTCTAAAATATCACTATGAAACATTTACTAATATTGATCATAAAATCTAGATTGTCCCATGAAACTAAAACTTAAACCAATCAACAGTAGATAATTTAAAGAATTTTCTTAGAACACTAAAAGAAAAAGATAAGCTTCAAAGACAAAACAAAGCACAACCAAACTTCCTTCCCTCCTCTTCACAAATGATTCTTTTACTCATGTGATGCTCCCACTCCAGCTGTGCAAGTGTGGAAACATTATCTTTATTAAGGAGGAAATATCATTAGTAAGCTTCTATTTTGTGTCCATAGAATTTATATTATAAAAAGAGAAAGTGATTATTCAAAATGAAAGCCAAAATAATAAAATTAGTAGAACCACTAATTTATGGTAATTAGTGTGGTAGTAATTGTGGAAAACTGTATTTTTATAATTATTTAAAAGTGTTCTTAATGAGCCTTTACCTACATGTTCCAGTAATACTGGCCATTAATGTATTCAATCCTTTTTGTTTAAATGAATGTAACACCTACATCTTGATTTGACATGTCCCAATAAGGTCTTTCTCCATAAGACATAACTTCCCACATGACTATTCCATAGCTCCATACATCACTGGCTGATGTGAATTTCCGGTACTGGATGGCTTCGGGTGCTGTCCACCTTACTGGAATTTTTCCACCCTGTTATAAAAAGAAATGAACATTTTAAATATGTATAATAACTGATATATTATTTATGGCAATACCATAAATACATATGTGCATTTTTGGTTGGTAGTTCAGCAGCATCAGGTCTACCCATCTTGAATCTCTATGCGTATTTAAAGTTATTTATCTGATTTTTAGAATACCATTACAAGTTTCATCATTTCAAGTTTACAAGGCAACTCAACTGATTGAGATTTGTGTGGTGTTAGGGCAAGAGTATATTGAACAAACAATGACAGGCTGGGTGCTGTGGCTCACATCTGTAATCCCAGCACTTTGGGAGGCCGAAGTGGGTGGATCACCTGAGGCCAGGAGTTCAAGATCAGCCTGGCAAACATGGTGTAAACCCGTCTCTACTAAAAATACAAAAAAAAATTATCCGTGCGTGGTGGTGGGCGCCTGTTATCCTAGCTACTCGGAAGGCTGAGGCAGGAGCATTGCTTGAACCCGGGAGGCGGAAGCTGCAGTGAGCCAAGATTGTGCCATTGCACTCCAGCCTGGACAACAAGAACAAAACTCCATCTCAACAACAACAACAACAACAACAGCCACAACAAAGACAAACTAGGCAAAGTTACTATGAAAATGAAATAAAATATGGATAATTTAAATACATTCTCACATATTTTCTTTTTTTCTAATCTTACAAAAGTTATAAGGATTAGCATAGTTAATATTCCTTTAAATCTTTATTTAAAATGTGATTACAGTTTTCTACAAATATGAGTGCTAGTAGCTAGATGTTTTTGTACGTAACTATATTCTATGACTCTCCCAATATAGGGCAGTCATGTTATCAACACTTTCCTTCTTAGTCTATATATATATTGTACAAACAATGATTCTTCCAGAAAAACAAAAAACAAAAAACAAAAAAAGCAACCTCAAAATGCTTAGCTCAATTTGCTTCATTTCTCCTGTTTAGTTTTACATTATTAGGTCCTGCTTTCGTGGTAGAAAAATCTTAAGAATATGAAGAAGTGCAGTAAATGACTTTTTCTTACAGTAGTTGTATAGACAGCTTCTGGATCATCCTCTATAACTCGGGACAGGCCAAAATCTGACACTTTACAAACGAGATTGCTGTTGACAAGAATATTGCGAGCTGCAAGGTCCCTGTGAACATATCCCATATCAGCCAAATATCTCATTCCAGCAGCAATTCCTCTCAGCATTCCTACTAACTGAATGACTGTAAATTGCCCATCATGTTTCTGCAGGAAGACAAAAATAAAAGCCCAGTTAACTGCATACTTTAAAAGGGACAAAAATCACCATGAAAAATATCTGCGTGCTAGCAATTTGCTATTGTATAATAGGAATTGTTAATTTTTTATATAATATGGATACCTGTGGAAAAAAATAACATGCTTATTTAGCTGACAGCCAAATAAGATAATTTTGGTAATCATTTAGTTATTTATACTAATTTGATATTTTAAAATGAACTAATAACAGTTTGAGTTTGCACAAGTCCAAAAGTATATGCTAATTTTTAAGTTTGGAAATAGAGTATCTAAAAAATTACCCCCAATAGCTAAGTGTTTTCCCCACATGCCAAAAAGTCTAAATAATATAAAAGTATATAAAGAAATTAATATACATATAATAAGGTTTATTTTCCTCTAAATGCTAAAAAAGAGCAACGGGGGAAATATTTGAGGCAAAATGAAGAGAAACTAAAATGTAGAAAGTAATTGTAGTGGCCACTTTGTTTCCATTTCATTTTTTCTTAGTTTTGCTACTGATAGGAGCATTACTTGTAACAAGGATTCTCTAGGACAGATGTACTAGCAAATGGGATTGAGAACTGTTTGCAACCAGACTGGCCACTTCCAACCCATTTTAACCAAAAAATTACTCCAGCTGAATATAAACATGCTGGATGAAGTATGCTAGTCTGAGTTGATTAATTTTCTAGTTGATACTTTTATCATGATGATGCAGCAATAAAAGTTTCTCTAAATCCTATGACTGTTTATACGCCTGAGTTAAATATGATTCTAGATCATATTAAATAACTTTGCATGTTCTCTTTTTCTTTAGATTATTTTTTCTTTGCCATTTGGAAAAATGTTCACATGTTAATATTCTTAGTTAAAAAGCCTCTGAGAATAAAAATATCTATGTTTATATATTCTGGATTTATATGTCATTTACAAATAAACCACATACCATTAATTTGAAAAATAATGTTAATAGTCATACATTTTATGCTTGGTGTTCACCTAACAATAAAATAGAAATGGTTCTACAGAGCAGAGTTGTGATCATAGTGTCAACACAGAATGGTTATCTCACCTTTTAGTCTTTTCCATATTATCTCTATATTTCATTTACAATTGTATATACTGTTTTATAACATGAATTCAAATTACAGGGCTTCGGGCATCCTCCATACCTCAGGTAATAATATTAATGGAAATAACTTCTTGACCACATTGTATTACTTCAATGCTCAAAATATTCTAGTTTAATCTAGTCTTGAACTCTGATTATTAATCTGATTTTCAAAGACAATCTTCTAACCTCTTACTATTTTACAAGGCTCTCATTTTACATTGCAAAAAAAGTTCATAAAATTATATTGGTAGCAAGCATAGTATATTTAGAATAAGTGGATCACTTTGGTACTTACCCTGAGAAATGCATCTAGGGCTCCATTTTCCATGAACTCTATTACTATCATGACTGGTTTCCCTAAAATTAAAAAAAAAAAGTTTCAGGAGTCGTAACCTGAGCTGGAGGGTCATTTCCTTTCTCATCCCCCAATAAAACACATGGTGTTCTTTTGAAAGAGTGAGTGTGAGAAGTATGAGCATTTCTTTTATTGTTGCTGCTAAGCTCAAAAAGTCATTATATGTCTGCTTGGAAGATGGTCATGATTCATAAAATTAAACCATATAAATAAAAGTCACTGTGTTCTTCTGACTCCTGCTTTGTGAGTAAAACTCAGAGAAAATTACACTTTATGTAAAATGTAAAGACTATATTGCATAATTATTATGTCTCTTGAAGAGAAATAAAAACATTTATCAGTCATTCCATCTATCAGAGTTATTCTTCAACTCTAATCTTGCATTCATTTTTTTTCTGCTTTCTTTTCCCTTGAGGTGATAACATAAAGGAAGAATTTTTTGATTAGTTACATACCAAGAAAACACATTCATTTAGACTGTGCAACATATTTCATAATTTGTTTTATTGTGTACATAATAATACTAATTTCTGACACTCAGTCTTTTTGATAAAATAAAGATATAACCAATATCTACCTCTTGTAACAACCCCTTCCAAATGGACAACATTCGGGTGGTCAAACTGCCCCATGATGCTTGCTTCACACAAAAAGTCTCTCCTTTGTTTTTCTGTGTAACCAACTTTCAGGGTTTTTATGGCTACTGCAACATCTCTTTTCCCTGGAAGTTTCAAACGGCCACTGCAGACTTCACCGAATTCTCCTGAAGTAACAGAACAAGCAGGCATATTTTAGTTTCTAAATATTGTAATTTTCTTTTAAGAGTAAATGCGTTGAATTATTTTTCTTTAACTTTTAGTAAATTATTTGAAAGCATTTTAAAATATTTTCAAAAATACTTGGTAAAGCCCTGTGAGTTACACTGAATACATTCCCATATATAGGGGAGTCTATTTCCTAGACACAAAAGTTGTTTATGAAAATAATGGCATAAATGAAATTAAAACTTGAAGATACAGTTCAGAGCTCTTTCATAGAAGTTACGCTTTCCTAAACTGTTAAACAGGCTACTATTTTTCAATTGAATTAACCAACACTCAGGGTCAACATTTAGATTTGAATTATGCTATTATATATTATATATTTAAAAATTTTTTTATATATATTATATTAGTATATTACCTAGACTACCTACTAAAGCATGAGGACACATCAGCAAATTCTAAACATTGCTATTCCTTTTAATTTTGAGAAGAAAATATTTATTAAATATTTAAAATCTGGAATTTATATGCACTATGTCTACTGGATTTAAAGGAATTAGAATCAGAAATGTATAATTAGTATAAAAATACATACATATAGAAAATATTCCCTTTAATTCATACACATTAATTTTCTACATGAATTTAAAGTACAATGGCTAATACCTACAAATACAAGAGAAAAGATAAAAATGAAAGTTTTGTAAGAAGACAGTAAATCAAGTAAAAGGAAATGTGCAGCAAAATTCTGGAAATTTCTGACCTTTTAAAAATACAAATTCATTTCTTAAATGACAGGCCAGAGCTATTATAAAGTAGCTTGTAGTAGAACAATATCTTAAAAATCCAACAGAAAACCAAAAATATATGGATTCTTTGTGCCACATGCTAGTTTTTCACATTTTTTCATAAGATTTCATAAACAAGTACAGCCTCACTGCTTCCAACAGTTCAGGTAAATGCAAAAGTTCTATACTTGAGGGATAATTATTTGCCTGTCATTATGATGTATGACTTTCGATCTTGGCTAAATGGAACAGCTGAACGAGGAAGCTACAATAGCCTTACCTGCACCAATCACACGCTCAATTTTAATACAGGAGGCATCTAGCTCCTTGGCGAATTGATGGACAGCTCTATTTGGGTCCTCATAGGTTTCAGGGTCAATGTAGGTTTTGGTGCCTGGAAATTTAACTGTAATGATGTAAGAAAGCATGACTGTGATGAAGCAAAGCACTTATTGTGCAGTCAGCCCAGGAATTTCATTATGCAGAGTGCTCCTTGGAACAGTGAACTTGCTTCCACATCACCTGATTCACAGCAGTTTTAACAGACTACTTCAGTCTGCTGGCGTATAGGTATTATCTGCAAGCTTCTATAGGTAACATAGGATCCAGCTCATAGGTTACTAACTGAATTGCTTTTCCAGTAAATCAACAAAAGACATTCACCAAAATTTCTGACATGCCTATCAGACTGGAGGTTTAATTAAATTCACTGCTATCATGGCATAGTTCAAGCCATATTAAGGTTTGTAATGGACTTGGAAACACATTTGTAAATCTACCAGTCAGTCAATCAATCAAATTAATACACTGGGAAAAGAAGACATTTCATTTACAGGTAGCCTACTACACTGACAGCAATATTAAAAACATTTAGACATCTTACTTATTCTTTTGATTTATTTTTTTAAAGACCAACCACCGTTGATATATACATAAAATTAATACAAGATGTGAGGGACTTCTATCACAGAATCAAAGAGATATCTTCTAAAGACAGTTTCATCTTCACCTTCAAGGGCAATAGAGGCCAGATATACAAAATGCAGAGTAAAGTTAGAAAATTTACAATATTCCTGGGATCTGTTAACCAAGTATGACAGCGATTTGAAAGAGGAATGGTTTATATGAACTTTCAATTATAAGGCTCTGGAAGATCTTAACTGCTGAGGAGGTAGCCAATATGCCTCACAAAAGGTAGTCAAAATGCAAACAACATAGAATAATCTTAAAAGTTAAAATCTTCTTAAAATGCACCCAGAAGCATGCAGGTAACAGATAATACTATGTCAACTTTAAATAAAATTCAATTACAATAATGTATTCCAAATCTATTTGGTAAAAGACAAAGATAAGATAGATAGGCATATATTTGGTTATATTAATGCAATAAAAATTACACTATATCCTCAAAAAAACTTTATTGTTTTAACAAAGCCACTGAACAATCTTTTCATCAAATCTTACTATTTGGAGAACAATATATTTCTTTATATATTACACTGCAGCCTAACTGTGCTTATGTCATCACATTAAAACTATATTTTAAAAGTAAACACATAACAAAAAGAAGCAAAATGTATAAAGGAAAATGGGATTTAAAAATCTTGATTTATTCTGCTGTAGTTGATTGTTTATCCAAAATTGATTGTCTTAAACAATTATTGTTGCAGTTTATAAAACTGACAGATGCTCATTTGTTACTAAAGCTGAAGATGAAAAAAAAAACAACACGAGAAGAAAAGAGAGAGGGGATAGAAGGAGAAAAGAGAGAAGAAGGAGTATAGGGAAAAGGGGAAGAGAAAAAGAGAGAAGGGAAGAAAACAATAGGTTAACCTCCTAGATTGGCAGGCAGATGGAGAATGAGCCATCTTCTCCCTTTTTATTCTCTCTTTCTTTCATTTTTTTAAAATTTTGTTTTGATAAGGGAGCTAGATTGGAGGTAACCTTCTGCATCTCAAACGGTCTCTGATGGTTCTTTATTCAAGCTGTCATAAAACATTTTGACAGACCAGAGCTTTTTTTGGCATAAAAACATGAAATACTGCCCAGCTTGGATTTGAAGACATTGTTAGAAGAAATGGTAGGAGGAAACAAAATGTAAATTCGAATTGCTTCACTAAATTCCTCCATTGTGTTTATATCTTTAAATGTAGCACTTGGGGCCATGAAAAGTTGAGGGTGCCTGATACAAATGACTGGACATTCTATTAAATTCAGTGCTCTAAAAGCTAGTTAAATGGTTGCTTTCAAGTTTCTGTAAAAATTCAATCTGGTGTTCTAGCACCTGGGAAAATTGTCCATGTACTAAATAGAGGAATAAAAAGACAGCAACTTGTAAACAGCTGGTTACCACAGTATTATACTTTCTATATTAAGTAATCATAAAATCAAATAAAATACCTGGTTTTAATCAAATGACAAGAAAACATATCCTTGGAAAAAGGGTGACTCAAAATATTAAGAATTTACCAGGATAGGATATGTTAAGTGCACTTTTTTCATTATTCATTTAAAAATGAATGTTTTAAAATAAGGAAAATACTGACATTATTTCTGAATATTCTGGTTTATCCCAACTTGAGTATGAACTTTTGTATTTTAAAATATTATTTTGATTTCTCATGAAATTTCAATATCTTAAAACCACCATTGCTAGTTTTCTCTAATGATGAAAACTTTATATACAGCAAGTTTATCTTGTCTATATTAGCAAGTAAGGCATGCAACTATATATTTTCTAATTACAAACTGGATGTGAAATGTGAAAAAAGTGAATGGCATAAAAATATTAAAACTGACTGATGACAATTAAGCATAAGGCTATACAACAAATTTTGGATAAGCCATGTTTCAACTGACCTTCTGCATTAACCTGCAAGTTAAAAGTAAATAAACTGGTGTATGTGATCACTGGGGGATATTTCAAATATGCTCAATAAATAAAAGAAAAGTGACATACTGATTATGGTAATATTAAATAATTGTGCCATTAAATTGTTCACATATGGGCAGGACCAGGGATTTCAGGAACTACAGTCTTATATTACTCTTCTATATACATTCTACACTAGAAATAAAATTTAGGCATTCAAGTTTTGATCTGCTCCTTCCTGTCTGGGGAAGTGTTAAAAATATTCTCACATGTTATTAAATAGAAACAAAAAAAGGTAACCTCCACTTTTTTCTCTATTTCCTCTAGCTATAAACTACCTATGGTTCTCTCTTCACTGAGGCTTGTCGCAGGAAAATTAATGCCAGATTAGCAAAAGGAAGTTCTGACATTGGGGGCATATCAAATAATCCCAAGTGGGGTATAGAAACACACATATTCAGTCATATTCAGGGGTATATTAAGTTTTTTGAGGCTTACCCCATATACAGTTTGGGATACTTTTTTTAGGGGAAAGAATACATGATTATATACATAAATTTGCTACAGCACTCCCAGGGCCTAAAAAAGGCCTGTGAAAGTAAGAGGCCTTGAATATTAAACTTTATAATAAAGCCACTTCCGGGCATACATTTAACTTCAATTTGTAGTAAATTGTACTACCCCACATGCCCTTCTTATCATCAGAGGTTGAGATTCAAGAGAATTTCTTATTCAATTTGTATTTGTGTTACATAAAAGCACTTCTGTTTTGAAAACTAAAGGTAACTGTTGGTTCAAAAATACAAACACATTGAGAAAATTTAGGAATGATAAGAGCATTTACAATTTGTGTATTTAAACCACACATTGTCATTTGAGCTTTTTTATTAAAAAAAAAGTATCACAAAGAAAATCTAAAATGTATTAGAAATTCTTGATGGAGGCTTTGATATTCTTATGACTTTAGGATGGGTATAGGACAGTATCTTCACAGATATTGACATAAGAATCTAATAAATAACACAACAAAAGATACAATTCTTACATCTTATGTCATGGGAAATTTATCTACACATGAGAACATTTGCCAAAGATTATGGGTACTACAAAATAATAATAAAATTGGTTTTTAATATTCTTAAGGATTAAAAATGGGGAAAATAGGTAAAGGTAAGAACATCATCAACTATCATAACTGAAGTAATTTGGTTGTTAGGTTTTGATTTTGCCTACATAAAGTAATAACAGTTACTCTCAGTGCTCTCATTTTCACATGCCATCTTGTTTCATTGCAACAAGAATAAGATTAATGCAGATAGGCATCTATTTTATTTGGGTCCCTAAGCTTTCTTCTAAATATGATTTCTAAAATGAACTTTTAAGAATAAGCTAACTCAAATCCATAGGAAAACATCAGAAGTATGAATCTTATTATTATACTATTTATGTCCTATGAAATATCTATCAATGATAGGTAATTTATAGTAGCTGAAGAGAAAGAGGCTCCTTAATTTAGCCTTTTGTGGTAGCATCACTCATTGGATTAAAAAAGGGCCTATCTTTGTAACCTGACATGACATTCCTTAGCTAGAGAAGGGGCACATGCAACCTTTAATGTATTATTATTAGGATGGTAAGAAACACTTGGGCAAAGTTTGCAAAATGAAACATTGTGATGTAAAAGCAGCTGAATATCCTGCAATTATATGACATTTCTGAACATATTTTATTTTTTCAAATTCACATCACATGATTTTAATTCTAAACATCTGATTCAAATGCTTTAAAGCAACATTTTGAGCTCATGGTATAATTTCAAGCATGATGCATGAGGACTTTGTTAATGCCAATGCTAATAACCAGATTTTTCTGTTAATAGGGGTACATCATAATAAAGAAAAGCCAAACACTTACAATGAAAGTAAAGCTCTTCATCGCCTTCTTGGTCAGCTTTGCTATAACCACAGTGCCTTGAAGAAAGCAAATTTGTGACAATCTCAGTCATTTTACTTTATATATTTAATATTCAGTACAATGTACCTTAGTTACTCAACAACTTACTAGAGTTAAATTTACTGTTCATAGTTATGAATCCATTTAGTAATAATATAGCGATTCACGATTAAAATTGCAAAGAAAACAAACTTTTTGTGTGAGAAAATGTAAAAGGAACATTTTAAAAAATACATTTAGATTGAATACACAAAATTCAGTATGATTTGAATCCACAAGGTTCAATTTACAAAAATATTCATGAGTCACAAATAGTCACAGGTGAATGTTTACTTATATTTCTTTCTGGAAAAGAAAAACTTTTTAAATGGTGTCCACAAACATTTAATAGCTAAAAGAGTAAACATTTCCCCAGGTATATTCTATATTTATTATGAAAACTTAACTCTGAAAATAAGCAAAAATATTCACCCAATAAAAACTGCAATACTCATTCTCTTTAAATGAAAGGCAGTGATCAAACTCATATTCCATTTTGATCTTGAAGGAATGACACATTATTGACCTTTAATGTTTTATATCAAAGAATGTTTGCATTTACTATTTAAAATTTTATTACACTAAGTAATAGGCTGACATAATTCTTAAAAAACAATACATTTTATGTTAGAGATTAGAACAACTTTGTGTTCTACCTTCTCCCAATGATGAAGCCAAAGACCATGAACACCAAAATGATGGTCCCAGCTACAGCAACCACAGCAATGATAATAACAGGATTCTGTTCACTGGAGACAGCTGTAGCTGTAAACAGAGGAAATAGGCTCAGAAATACTTGACACCATGCAAGAACTTGAAAGGTTAAATAAAATTAGAGTTATCTTTTCTATTTAATTCTTTATAATTTTAAATAACTGCATTATATTGTAACAAAGTAAATTTAAATAAATGTTTATTTCTGCCTTTTAAAGAACTTGTAAGGACAATACTTTCACATATTTTCCATTTATCAGCTACAAAAGAACGTATAAATGCCTTATTGAATGATTATATTCCTGCTTAGTTGTTGAAAGCTTAGTTATAAATCAAGAGATAGACACATCTGATCTGCATGTGCTATTAAATCCCTATTGTTCCTCAGCAAGGCATTTGATTTTGATCCCTTTGTGTCTTGTTTTTTGGTATGTGAAATCAGAACCAAAATACATACCTCATGTATTTTTGAAGTACCTTAACACACATTAAATGCTTTATCTCTCATATCATCAATTAAAATGGAAAGCATCATGTAATCATAAACATCATAAATTTATAGTCCACTATAATTCAGGAAAAAGATGAGCCACATTGTCTGTGTTAATTTTCATGAAGTATGAGTAAACACATTTCATATTTTAAGATTACAAAGTAGCTAGCCTATTTTAGAAAAAGCAAACTTTCTGCAAGTGCTTTAAAAAACACTATCATTACCTAACTGCAAACCCTTCCTATACAATACTAAATAATTCTTCTATGCTCATTAAGGCAAACCTGGCTGAACTTTTCTGACAGTCTCTTTGGGAAGAAGTACATGTTTGCATGTCTTTTAAAACACCTTCTGATATAGAATTTTTGCACTTATCACTTCCATTTTTCCAAACTAGTGAAGTTTTATTTATATGATGATTCACAATTGTCATATTTTCCCAGAGTTTCATATTTTCAGTAGCAATACAGACTTTATAAAATCATCAAGGACATATGAAACAATGAAAATGAATATTCCAATAAATGATCCAGTTGCAAATATCATAAAATACATAATGTCAAACTAATATAATTTGCTATCTCTGAAACAATCAAGAGCTGCAATCTTTAATTTAAGGCAGGATGGGAAATACCATTCCTTCTTGTTGATGGCAAGGGACTAGATCTCTAGAGAAGTAATTCATATGAAGGCAAAACATATCTTGCCACAATAGGAAGTATAAAGTTTTTTTCAGATTGGCCTTTCTCTAGTTTGTCTGTCTCCTTTTGACAACTTATCTCTTAATTTTGTATACCTATGCTAACAAGAGATAGCTCCTGTGTTGAAAAACAGGAAAAATCGCTCTGGTCTAATAGATACTTTCTGAACAAAGAAGATTATACACATTCTCTAATTTATCACCTGCTGAATTGCTCCCTGAGGGAACTTAAAAAGGTTAAAAAAACAGAAGAAGAAAACAACTTTCAAATACTAATTTCTGAATTACAGCCTATTATCACACAACAGAGAAAAGATGACTTCAAGTCTTTTAAAAATTTGCTTATTTTTTGTTTTTAGTCTGTTTTTTAATGTACATTTTAAGAAAGAAAAAGAATGGAGTAGTTCCAGTCATGAGGAAGAAAAAATTATGTACATATGTTATGAAATTCTTTCCATTCAACCGATGTGTCCCATGGGCCTAATTCTCTGCTTGTCTTAGGCTCAGTTTTTCCCTTAGCTTCAGAAAGAGAACTCTAATGAGAAAAATGAACTCAGGTGAATGATGAATCAGAATTTGTGCATATTTATTTATACATTTTTGTATATTGTCAGGGTCGTACTTTAATCTTTCCATAGTTGACATTATGGTTAATATTTTCATCTATTTCAGGGCAATACATATTAAAAGTAATTTGCTAAGGCTATAAACAGAATGTCATGGTTTAAAAACTCGAAACAGTAGATAGGATACTGCACAGAAGGGGATTTTAGGATGTATGTGCAATGGAAGAGACTGTCAAATTTCTCTTTACAAACAGTGCTCAAGTGACTTCTTTTAGGCTGCATCTTACCTTCTGACCTGCTTTCTGGCACAGCAAGTCACTGCTCCCTGACATGGTGATATCACTGGACCATGCATTCCACCACTGCTTAATTGTGTGGCCAGAATCTGTGTACCTGTCCCTGTCTTTCACTGAACTTTTAATAAAGATCATGAACTGTGTGTTTCTGTGCCTCCTTAATTCTTAGCATAGTACCTTATGCTGACTCACTGGTTCACAAAGAGTAGTCTGGAAAACTCTGAGAGTCCTCAAGAACTTTTCATAGAGTCTGCAAGTTCAAAGTCATTTTCATATAATATGAAGATGTTATTTGACTTTTTTACTCTCACTTGCTTATGAATGCAGTTAAGATTTTCAGAAGGTATATGACATGATAATACTATGACTCTGATGGCTAATAAAATGTTTGTGTGTTCTTGTGTTTTTAAAGTTTCCATTTTAATTTCTAATTTGGTGAATATTAATTGATATAACCAATATAAAACATTTTTTGATATCCCCAACATTTTTTAATAGTAAAAGGGCTCCTGGGATGGAAAATTTTGAGAAAGGCTGTGTTTAATAACAGCTGACACTTAAGACTTTCCATGATAGGGGCTCTCCTTGACATTTTGTATATTTAACTTAAACCTCAGAATGTTTTGTGAATTGAGTACTACTATACTAGAAATTAGGGTACAGAGACCCAGCTCATCCAAACTCCTATAACCGGACATGGCAGAGCAGAGAGATTTGAAACCAGGCAGCTCTCTACTGATACTGATTGATATTAATAATTCACTCTATGTTGATCAGTGTGAAGTATTCATTTATTGCTAGTTTACTGAGTGCCTTCTGTGCCTGAAACCATAGTAGGCACTGGCAAGACAACAGTAAGAAAAAGACATATGGATTCTTCTTTCATCAACTTGACATTCCAGTAGGAGAGAATATATTGATAGTAAAAATCACTAAATTCTAATGCAAAAATCCATTCTTAACATACATTTCATGTGATCTTTCAGGTTCCACTACTTTAATCTCTGAGTCTTGGTTACTTCTTTTTTAAATAATAAAAATGATATCTATGAATCTCAGCACACATTAAATGATAGTTTGGTTTAATATTCTCAATTTACAAAGTCAGGAAAAGGCATAAATTCATCTTGAAACTTTTGAAATCTAAAAGTGTTTTTAAATAATAAGGAATGGTTGGGTAAATGTGAGATAACTGACATTTTAAGTTTAAACTATTTATTAAAAGATGAAAAACATAATTTGAAGTATCTTATTATATCTGAATTTACAGGGTGATATTATGATATAGATCTGAGTTGAAAATTACTAGAGCACATTTTAACACTAACCACTCAAATGTTTAAATGTTGAAATCTTAACTTAAAATGCTTTAATGTTTTGGGGGACACTAAACTTTGATATGCTGATTCTTGATCTTATATAATCTATTTAAAAAGAATAATCATGAATAATGGTATTAAGTTTACCACATCAAATTATGTAGTAAATTTTTAAACTGATGCCTTTATGTTTACAACTCTATGTGAATGATTTATATGTCAAAATGATTTCAGCATACGTTTTTATTATTTGTGGCTATAAGAGTTACAGATTTATTTTAAAATGTAACAAAATATGTGGAAGAATAATACTGCTAGCAAACTTTACAAACATTAGTTAATGCAAAGGATATTTATCAATTTACTCCACCTTTTGAAGATCTATACAATTCTTCCTTTAAAGCCAAAATAATTCTTTAATCAAAATATTAATTTAATTTGTTTAAATATTTTTAATTGAGAAAAGTCATATAATATTTTCCAACTTAATTTTGATTAGAATTTTGGAGGAAGGCTGGATTGGCAAGGAGAAGAGATAACACCTGGGTAAACCATGTGCCTGAGCAGTAACATCAGGAGGAATCAAAACTCCAAAATATAGAAACATGTACTGAGACATCAGCTCTGTGGAGGAGCAACAGCAGTGGTATTCAGGGTGTTCTGAACTTGGACTCTGACAGCAAATGGGGACATCCATCCCAAGATATATCTGCTTACTTCTTATACACTATATATACACATGCATTTTTACTATAATCTTGTTGCATTGTAAAACATAAAATGATAAAGGGGCTTCAAAGATACTGGTTATATTCTATTTTTAAGATGAGTGGTCATAGGGATATTCATTTAATTATCTCCCTTATATTTCATATCTACTTTAAATAGATTCCTTAGTATGCATGAAATATTCCATAACAAAAATGAAAAATGTCAAAAACAAAAATAAAAACAAGTTCTAAGACCTTCCTGAACTCTAATTTTTGAAATCATTGCTAAAGGGCAATTCACTTAAATTAATACAGGTTCTTAGATACCATCTTTCTCTTGTCCACCTCACTACACATTCTGGCTTCATTTGTGGGTTTCTGTGAAGTAGCTGCTTTGATGGACACACTTAGAATAAGATTGTTTCGAGGTCGACAAACACATCTTGTGTCAATACACAAATTGAATCAGTCCTGCTTCTGTTTCTAATTTCACCTTTTTCAAAAAATAAATCTTGTATGCGTTAAAGAAACTAATTTAAATCACAAGGTTCTAAAATTGCTAAACAAAACAGCAAATGTTAAATTATTATGAACTTTTACAAAGTACATTTATATGTACATATATATTTATTTGTAAATGTAAAAATTATGATGGTGCAAATGATCACCTCAATATTGAAAAAAATATTAATATATGCTAGAGTTATTGAGAGTAGGAATCCAAACCAAAGGCATAATTACCTTCAAACATTTTACCTGTAGCTTCCTCTAGTGTAGCAACATCAAGTCTGGGACTGTAATTTCCATAACCAGCAGCAGTAAAAGCCCGAATCTGGAAAACATACACTGTTCCTGGTTTCAGATTATTAATGGAGGCTGAAGTAGACTTGGTTTTTACTGTTGAGTAGGTCCGTTCCCTTTGATCCTAGAAACAATATTTAGAGGAAATATTTAATTGTGATTGCAACCAGACAATTTGACAGCCAACTGTTTCAATTTAATTCAATTTGCTCCATTGTTTTTATAGAGGCTACATTGTACTTTGTGGAATATTATAAAGTTAAATCACTTCTAAGGTAATATAAAATGAAAATGTGAAACACATGCCTTTGTTATATATATTTAGGGCGAAATAATTTAGTTAAAACATTTATGGTGTTTTTAGCTTTCGCAGAAGTAATATGTGACAAGAACTATTTAGCCATAATATAATAAAATATCCTATTGGTCAAACAGTGGGTACACCTGTACAATCTACAGTTTAGTAGAGGTCATCAAATCATAATGTAGTTCTCTTAAGTTTTTTCTGAAAGTTATTCAGCAAGAAAAAAAGCCAGATGCTAAAAATCCAGAAAGTTATTAAATCAAGAAATTCAGATAACACTACTACTATACTGACATACCAATTTTTTTAAAACAACCCTGAATTTCTCACAGAATAAACCACTTCTGCAAAACAGTTTAATGAAATATTTTTAAAGTAAAATTATAAATATTAAAGTTTAAATATATATGATTTATGGTTTGAAAATATTTTAAACATGATTTATTTCATTTTGTTCATATTTCAGATATAAAAGCTAATGCAAATTTACTAAAATCAATTATATGCTTATTAACAATTTTTATCCTATCATTATCAAACATATTTTATGTGCATATATAGTAAGATTAAGAAGGGAATAAATGTAAAAACTCAAGCATATAAAAACTCCATCAAAACAATATTTAAATAAATAAAAATTTAAATCTTCCTTGATATGATTCTCACAAGCTATTTATGAATAAAAGTTGTAAAAATTATACTTCATAATATACAATATTAGAGAGTTCTTATTTGGTGTATAATAAATACATGTGTTCAACTTTATCTGGCAATGAAATTCTTCATTGAAATCTTAAAATGTCAATCAAGTTGTTTGATTTGCCTTCACAGTGAGATTTGCAAAAGTGTAAATAAATATATACTTAAGCTTGATTCACTCAAACTGATCTGTGATTGTCCTCATTATAATCATTTATAAAAATGATAGTTTGTATTACATGTATTTATCTCAAACGAAAGACCTAGGCATAACTCAGGTGACACAAACATCACGCATGCGTGCATATACATTACAATATAATACAATACAATATTATTATTGTCTTTTAGTTGCCTAATATGCAAATTTAGTGAATGTAGATTTCTGTAAGGCCAAAAAATGATTTGAACATATTTATTCTAGAGAAAATATTTGCAAAATATTTCAGATTTATATTGTAAGAAACTTTACTCTTACCACCTATGTGTTTCATTGCTTTTGAAATTGGATGCAATTTAAGCAGAGAATATAACTGATAGCTCTCATGGGAAAACAGATATACCAAAACCAGCATTAAAAACAATAATCCCCTCTAAAACACATTTGTTGGGACGATAAATGAAGCATATAAAATGCAACCTTAGCCATGAAGTCATGAATTCATAATGTAAGTAACAAGCAAAAATATTTTAAACTTAATCTGAACATTAAAACAAAATCATATTTTAAACTAATTTTTCTTTAAAAAAACAAAGGTATCTATTGCCAATGTACTATATACATTTCAATTTATTTAATCATGTCCATTCATCCCCAAAGTTTTCTCAAAGCTTTAAGCTCCTATTTTCTAATTCTATTGTCTAAACAGTTAAAATGGTTATGTGTATTATAGCACTTCAGGTAACTCAGGTAAGCCAAAAATAGTAACACTTATTACTGTTACTGTTGGTAATAGCAATGGTTTCCACGTTTCAAACCTTGCACTGAGTCTGTCTGTGAGGTGGGGTTTTAAATCACGATCTGTGAACATGGCTCACATAAACATTTTCTCTCTCTTTCCAAATGAAACAGAAATAAATATACTCATATACTCAGATGTATCGCTAGTTACTAAAATTTAGTCATTATAGGTGGATTAAAAAGGCAGCACTTGGGTGCTAAAAAGCCATAATATTTTTCCTGGAAGGAGAGGTGTAAATAAGTCCCATACATGATTATTAAAACATATATAAAATAAATTTCAGGAGGAATTTAAAGGAGTGAAATAACATCATCTGATTTGTAAGTCTGAAGAACTACATATTTATTATACAAAATATTCTTATTATTTCAAATTATTAAATTATTTGAGGTCATTATCATCACTGAAACCACATAAATTAAACAAACCATTAAGGTCCCAAACAGACATACTAAAGAAAATATTTTTCAAAATGCATTGGGCTGTGTGGTTTCTGTGGTACTAAAATATCCTACATCTAATTACTACAATATCAGAAATTGAATAAATAAATAAATATATATGCTACAAATGGGATACTTTCATTTGTGTAACACAGAAACTTAATACACAGAAATCACATTTATAATGATAAGCCAGAGATTCACAGAGATGGTTATTATAAATGGCTAAAATTAACTACGAAGTTTGAAGTAGCTCCAAATTGTTGGCATAATGACCAACTTTAGTCTACAATACAGTAGGATGACATGAGACACACAGCACATTGTACATTTCAGTTGCTCTTAGCACTTACTTTCTCGTAATACTTGATTTCATATTCTGTGATGACTCCATTGGGATGCTCTGGTTCCTGCCAGGAAAGCTCGACACTCCGCTGCAGTACTCTCTCCTTCATTACTCCACTCACTTGCGAGGGAGCTGTTTGGACAAGATGTGTCAATAAACAATGAGAAAATTCACTGGATGCCTCAAATCAAATGTCACAACTGATCAGTCCCATGCTGTGCCAGTTTCATTAAGGTAAAAGAAAGCACCTTTTCATAGCTCACAATTCAGAAGCTAATGAATATTCAAACAGGACCTTATTACTGTTCATAAACCTTAATAGAAATTTAAATTAAAGTGCAAACAGCAGAAGATAGCATTGTTCAAGTTAGTGAAAAATGGAAATGATGGGGCTGAGAATGACAATTAAGCAAATGAATGCTAATTAAGGCTAGAAAATATGATTTCAGATTAATCTCCAGTGATAAACTAAGTCCAAATATTTATTTCACATGCAACAGCAATACACTTTTTAAAAGAAAAAATAATTTAATATGATGCAAGAAAAAGTGTATGAAATGGCTACTTTGATCTTCAATTAAAGGAATCATATTTTTAAAAATGTTTCCATGTTTCACTTGGTGTGTGTATACTCCCAAAGAATTCCAAACAACTTTGGAAAACATTTTTAGACTTTATTAGGTCAAGATGCAAGAAAATGCAAAGGCTGCCTGCTACTTAAATTATGTGCATGAACACACATACATACACATGGACTCTTGCATGTGTAATTTATACCTACGTAACCTAGGCTTCAAGCTTTGAAAGGAGCAATTCAAAGCTACAATCTTGCTTTCTCTTTCTATATAGATAATAATATGCTTAGAGTTCTTTCATTCTAATTAGTGACATATACTCTTTTTGGTAGCTAAGTCTGTGGAATGTAGCAAACTAATTTGCTCGTCTAATTTGCTCAGTGATGATTAACTAGTTGTCTACTCTGTCTAAATGAGTAGCTGCACTGGCTTGGCTGAATTTCAGTGGGGTCATTATGTTTCATGTACCATGCTCTATCTCATTCTGTAAAATATTTTCAGGCTATTAATTTAATTTTCAGATGTCTGAAACTGTTAATAATCCTGCTGACAGAAAAGCAATTATATGGGACCAAGCCGTTTAAGCAACCTTCCGATGTTTATCCCTTTGGCTTTATTTTGTTTCTTCTACTTAATATTTTCTTGTATCAATGTCTAAAAACCACATTTTTCACTTCTTTCTGGCTTGGCGATTTTGAAGGAAGGACATGGAAGATACATGACTCTCATTTCCTCCCAGATTACTAACAAAAGCGTAACGAGGGCAGTTTAAGTGGGACAACTTTCCCTTGAAGGAGATGTAGCTGAAGTACTCAACAAACTGTGTTTACAGTCTAAATGCATTTCTGATATATTTTCAATGAAGCTAATTTCTAGTAAGAAATCTTATTTTTGTCACAACTTTTGAAACCTGAACATATACAGTAAACAATAACTTATCTCTAAAGTGACACATCTCTGTACCCAGAACCTGCTTAGCATAACTCAGTAGACTGCAACGTTCAAGAGGCTGCTTCCTTAGGCCATGGCCTTAGGAATCCAACTCCAACTAATTGTGACATGAGACTCTACTTGACAAATAATCTCTAGTAGCATAACTTACTTAACAAAATCATTCCAAAAAATTTACATTTTAACTAGTAAAAACAATAGACTGCAGCACAGGTGAGAATACTGCAATGGTTAACATACTGAGTTACCCAGGAGTTGCTGGTCTCTGATCAGAGTTTACCATTTATGTGTGCCATTTGAAAATAAGTTAGCTAGAAATAGGTTAGAGAGCTCGTATGTGTAAATCTCTAGGTTTCTTTCAAATAACACCAATA
The DNA here is from genome assembly GCF_000001405.40 of Homo sapiens. Taxonomy (NCBI): domain Eukaryota; kingdom Metazoa; phylum Chordata; class Mammalia; order Primates; family Hominidae; genus Homo; species Homo sapiens. The sequence goes on from NC_000006.12 coordinate 93,274,191, forward strand.
GCCTACTGTGATTTTCAGTATAAGTCAAACACTAAGACATGTTGCTTGGTTTCTATCCCTAACTATCACTTTGCTTGGTATGATAAAAGAGGCAGGAGACTCTGAATTCTTCAGGTTATGGAAAAGATTTGGGTTATAAATCTACCCTATTTAGTTTCTGATACATTGAAACAAGATCTAAATATAAAATGAGATGATTTTTGCAAGTTATACACTAAAATTACATTCATTATTTCCATCCTGGAAAATAATTTTTACCAATAAAATTATAGCAATTGGGAACTGAAAAAGAAAAGCTGCTAAAAATACTTCAAATATATAATATTTTGAAACTCATATCACAGTGCTGACAGTGAAATATGCTGCAACGTATTTTCCCTTTTGCACAGGATCCATATCTGTAAGTGAATATACTCCTGAATTCTTCTATATTTCTTTCTTTTTTTCTTGTATCCCTTGCTGATACTATATCAAGTCACACATTTTAAGAGGGTCAGAAACGGAAGCACTAGCACATGGCCCTTGAGAATGGATAAACTGCATGATAGGAAAAATCTCTCTCTGTCTAATGTCCTTCAAATACAACATTTGGTACAGGAAACGTGATTATATTTTCCCTGAGCTTCAGTATCTTAGGTATAAAGGATACACAACTCACAGGATATACAGCTTATAAACAAAAACATCTCTAGCCTAGTTATATTCTAACAAGGTAATTATTTTCAGATAAAGTTATATGTTAAAGTAAAATTAAAGTGGCATAAGGTATGTTAATCTTAAAACACAATGATTTCTATGGTCAATATATTTGATTTACTAAATTAACGTTATTGTAACAATCTCACTAAAAATGTGCTCACTCTTACACCAAAATATTCAATTAACTACAATCTAAAGTTCATTTCTGAAAAGAAAATAACAGTATACAAATGAATTATACAAATGAAATATACAAGTGACAATATACAAATGAATATACAAATGAATTAAATGCTTCAAGAACCAATTTGGTGTTATAACATTTAAATTATAATTTTCATAATTATCAAAATGAAATTAGACATGTTGTAATTGGAATTATGTGAAGATAATAAATAGTAACCAACAACAATAAAGTTCCAAATTGAAAGATGTAGGAGAAAACAAATACTGTATATAACAGAGCTTTTTGAACATAAATTTTTAGTAGGTTTTCTAACAAATAATTAACAGATTCATTTTCACTAGAGTTTCTAGAAGTATTCAAAAATAAAAATTAAATTCAACTGAAAAAACAGATGGAACTTCCTTTGCCCTTAAAGATCTTCAAGTCTTATCAGGGATATAAGATATAACAAATAAATAAAATATAAAACAGACTAAGCCATGAAGCAAATTATTAATCATATTTGGAATCTTCACAAATGACAATGACAAGAAGACCTTAGGAAATTCAAAATTTGTTTCCAGAGTTCAAAGTGGTAAATCTCAACAGCATAAAAACAAAATTGATAAATTTGATGAAAGAGTAAAGCAAAAGTCTAATGACAGGCACAAAAGTAAATTTGTGGAATGGGTTTGTTAGTATAAGGCTTTAAATTGAAAAATAATCAGTAACAAGAATGGTGGGTTTATGTACAGACCTGAACCAATCAGCATTTTTACAGATTTTGAGCTTCAAGCACTCATATGTGATCTTTGATCTTAATCAATTTCCAACTAAAATTCAATTACAAAACACGTATTTAAATTACAGAATGGAATTTATTCATAAGGTCTATGTACTGCCTCCCTCTACCCCCTGCCAACAGGTTAAGCTTAACTATTTGTAAAGGAAAATTTCTTAGCATGAAGTAGGGAAAAAGACAATTTTAAAGCACAGCAAAGTAGGCAGAGTGACCCCACGAAGATGTCTATACCCTAATCTCTGAAACATGTAAATATGTAAATTCCATGGCCAAAAGAGTACTGTAAATATAATTAAGGTTACAGACGTTAAAATAAAGAGATTATCCTGGATTCTTCCCAGTGGGCACTATCTAGTCATACGAGCCCTTAAGAGCAAACAGAGATGCTGTAGAAGTCAGAGAAATTTCAACTGTGGGAGGAACCAACTTGCCATTGTTGGAGGGGACCTCAGAGAAACATGCAAAGATACAAGGGCAGCTTTTAGGATCAGACTGGCCCTGATTGACCAGTACAGAAATCAATAATTCAGTCCTATCAGAGCAAAGAATTTGAATTCTTCCAACAACAGGAATGAGCTTGGAAGTGGATCTTCCCCAGAGTTTTCAAGTAAGAGCCAAGACCAGCCGATAACTTGATTTCAGCCTGTGAGGCTGGTAGTTGAACCTTGCTGTGCCCAGACTTGTGACCCACAGAACTGTGAGATAATAAATGAGTGTTTTAAATTGTTCACTGTTTGTGGTAATCTGTTATGGCAGCAATAGAAAATGAATACATGTAGTAAAAAAAGCAGACCTACTGAAATTTTTATGAAATTATGAAAACAGGCTAGTGATTGCATATTTAAATAACGTGATATTAAATTGTATGTTGAAATAGCATGGAATCAAGGAATATTGACCTTGATTAAGACCCAAAACACAATGTTTCACAGAAAAGAACTTAACCAAGATAATGAATTTCACTTTGGATTTAAAAAGTCATTTATTTATACCATTCATTTTTTCTACATTTACATGTTTCTAACTGAATTTAAACAAAGAATGGATGGAAAAATATACCTGTATTTTTCAACAGTACAATGAGGTAAGATGGGTCAACAAGCATAAAATGATCTTTCAGCAAATATATCAAGTTTTTAAATCCACTGAAATTTGTTAGATATCCATTAGGTAAATACAAAAAGGAAAAATAAAGATATCTCTGGAATACAGTCAAGGGAAAACCTGCTAATAGTAGAATGATGCTCTTTCATGGAACGCTTTTCCTATTGTACGTTATCAGCAAGAAATTCATTTTTAGCAATCCTTGAAATAACAAATGCGTGTGTTACTATGAGCTTAGTATTTTAAAATATACAACTTTTAGCTTTCTCACTCTTCCCCACAGGTGTTCATCTTTGTACTATAGGAAAAACACATAAAAATACATACAAATTTGCTTAAATAATGAAATACTTGGCCATAATTATACATGCAGTGCAGTGTATCATGTAACACAGCAATTCTATTTCTAGAGTATGTAGACATACATAAAAAATGCTAAACACATAATTTCACAACATTTCAATTTCTTGGCTTTGGAAAAACAGGGTGGCTAATAATATTAAGAATGATACATATGCAATTTTAGCTAAAAAAATAAGTACAGGAACTAAGGGTAATTGAACCTGTAGCAATTATGAGCTATTCTTTTGTGATAGACGTCTGTCAAATTATCTTTGGCTGGAGAGAAGCATGATCTGTAGTTAAAACCAACATAAATTTTCATTCTATAATAAGTATTTGAAAAAATCGGTGGAAGAGAAATGATGTTTTTTCAAAATTAAATTATGTTATTTGCATTGCTATCTACTTAACATACCAATTAGGATAATGATTTTCAAAATGTAAAATATACAATATAGTAAGATATATAACAGAATGAATTTCTAAATAAATTCAAGAAACAGTTACTAAAAAGACAATTTGACTAAGAAATAAGGTTTGAAAGTTCTGGAAAAAAATATGATGTTGAGCTGAAAAAGTAGGAAAATAAAAGCATCCTGCATAGTGGCCCCAGTCAGGTATACATGTGAGTTAAATCAATATATCTTCAGTAGAGTAATAAAATACCTAATAAGAACTACAAAAGTCACCACTTCACAATTTGATCAACCAAGAATCATTCTGTTCTTTAAGGCAGCGATTGTAAAAATGATCTGACAATACATCTTTCTGAGAATAAAGTTTTCTTCTTTTTTATCACCAGGTAATTGGAAACCAATTGTTTGGACATTTAATTAATTATTATAGGAGTTAGCACTTCTCAGAAAAATCTATAAGTAAAAGGCTTTAAGGGGCATCAGTTTGTGGAGAAGAGCTACTGTTGGTCATTGTTGCTAAACACATACTAGGACTCCTCCTAATCTCTGCTAAAGTACTGACTAAAATGTCAACTGTTGAAAGGTTAATGTGTAACACCTCATAAATTTTTATTTTAATAGAATTTCTCTTAATGTGAAAAAGATAAAATTTTGAACACAGTAGGTATAAATTAGGCAAATTCCCCAAACTGGCTGTCCTATTCATACCAGTCTTACAAAAGAATAACTCAATAATGACCTAACATGACAATTCAGAATGGTTAAGGAGTTCCTGATAGTAAGACACACATTATCTATCTTTTCAATCAACAAGTAATACTATCTTTTTACTGGTTTAGTTCTATTCAACAAGTATTTGTTTGGCATTTACTATATGCAAGGCATTGTGGATTTTTATAGTTCCTTAGAATTTGCAACATTAGATAGATAGACAGATGGATTTCTTCCCTTCTAAAACCCTATGAGGTAAATACTGCTTTTCTTGCTGTTTTTTTTTGTTGTTGTTGTGTGTGTGTGTGTGAAGAAGCTGAGCCTTAAAAATTAAGTAGCATCATCTCAGAGTCATATTTTTTATTTAATTCACGTTTTAAAGCCCTAATTCCCAACTTTTTTTCAATATACTGCAAAATTCTAGGCTCTGACACTTCCTGAGAGCAGAAACTAGCAAGAGGAAAGCTAAGCAGTCATTCACTCATTTAATATTTACTGAGAATCCATGATGTGCCAGGACATTAGGTTTTGAGAATATAAGGATCAAAAGACCCATAGGGATCTGCTCAGTAGGCAGTAGCAGTCTCAGAAGCTGCAGATACTAGAAGAGATTAAGCTGAGCAGAGATTTTTTAAATGGAAAATGTGTGTATATGCGACAAAATTCAAAAATACTAAAGCGTGAAAACTGACACTCCCTCCCAACCTGTCCCCATGTAACTAAGGTACTTTTCCCTGAAGCAACCACTCTTAGCAATTTATTTGGTATCCTTCCAGAAATTGTCTAGGTAAACACAAATATGTGCATGTTTTACATGAATGATATTTTTTGATTTATGCTGTATTTTATAACATATCATTTAACACATATAGATCTGCATCACTCTTTTATCAGCTCTGTTGTATTCCATTATACATATGCACCATGATTTATTTGACCAGACACTTATCAATAAGCATGGTCCTTTCCCACCTCTTTTTCTTACTAATTATGATCCAATGAAACTGCTGGCAAACTGGTATCTAATTAATTAATCCTATAAGAAGAGTAAAATATTTCAAAGTGGTCTAGTGCCCACAGGTGAAAAGAGGTAGGCAAAGTTACATGGACTGAATAGGCAAAATGTGGCAATTGTTAAAACTCCTTTAGAGGTTTTGCTTTAGAAAAGAAAATGAGCAATTTATTTGGTTATTATTATTTAAAATATTCTAGAGCAGTGCCACTCAAAGTGCAGGCTGGCTACTCAAAACACAGCTGCAAGTTGTTGGTGTGTGAGAGGAACTTGTGTCAGATGTACATCAACTACATCAGTAAGCACTTTTTTGTAGCTCAGCTGACGTTTTTTTCTTAGTAAGATTTCTTGATGAAAGAAGCATTTCTTTTTCTTTGCAGCTTCCTTGATCATTTTCTTTCTGGTGCTAGCTACTTATCTGTCATATGCTGGCATTTTGAGTAGCACTGACTTTTAAAAGTACGCTAGCATTAGTCTTAAATACCCTTCACTGTAACACTAAAATGCCCAAAAGGTATGATTACTATAACATTTTTACTGATTTCTGATGAAAACTCCTTTCGTTCATACCTTCAACATATAATTTCTCATGACTGATTATAGTATAAAGAGTTGTATGAATTGCAAAGATGATGATGTCTCAGTTACTACCTTCCAGGAGATTTAAATCCAGAAAACAAGTTAGAACATGAATGCTCACAAACAATCTAAATGCAAAACTAAATATCCTAACATAGATGAAATATAAATCAAGTGCCAACATATTCCTGGGAGACAGTAAAGAGCAAAACACACAGAATATTTTCCTGTTGTCAACCCCATTTGTAATTCAGCATTTGGTTGGTATATAGCCATGCACTTAAACAGCTTATCAAGACTGTTGGCATCATATCTATAATCTGCAAGTGATAACTTTATATCAATTAGATAATAACAAACTCAGTTTCAAGATTGGGCACACATTTTTCTGTCTAGTGGCCTCCACCAATAACCAACAACTCCTTGAATCATTCTTCCTCTGCTTCAACTAATACAGATTTCATTTTCTGTTGATAGTTGAGTGGCTACACAATGTGTCATTCAATTATGTTATACCTGTCTATCTCCTCAGCTATTCTGATGCTCCTTAAAGGTAGAAAACTTAGAGAAGCAGTAGAGTATAGGAATGAAGAGCATGGGCCAGAAAGCTAGTCCGTGGCTTATTTGCTGTGTGACCTTGAGCAGAAAATTGAACCTCTCTGTGTCTCAGTTTTCTCAGCTTTAAAATAAGGATAATCAGAATACTTACATCATAAATAGAATTGTTATGGAAATTAAATATATAAATAAATGTTAAATATTTAAAATCATTCCTAGCATGTGGTAAGAATTCCAAAAAAAAAGTATTATTATTCTATTATGACTTTGTTTGTATTAAAATTACTGATACCTGGGACACCTTCCAGAATACTCTGATTCTAAGATCAGATTCAGGCCTTCGTATTTTTCAAAAACTCCATAGATAAAGCTGACGGACAGCTGAGTTTGAGAATAATTCCTTTAAATCTTTTGCAGGAACATAAATTGCTATTCTAAGGTGGGATACCAGCACTCTCCATAATAAATGCTGGCAATGTTAGATTTTTGAAATCACATTGATAATTTTTATAAAATAGCTATTTCAGTAAATAATCCATTTGTATAATTTATACTGTTTTATATGCATGAGCTAGCTAGAAAAGTACATCATCAATGTTAAGTCACTTAGAAGGGATACATCATTGTAAGAAAATGAAATGACTACCAAAATGAGACGAAGACCAACAACACACACTCTTTTCAAAATGTTATAAAATATATTGAGAAAGAGAAATACACGGATGAAGTAACTTCTATTTTGATTGGTGAGGAAACTAATACTTTGAATGATTTGTTTTAAACTACTTTCGTACTTTTACAGTCAGTAAACTGGCTCCATCTTTAATTTTCCATGAATTCATAGCCAAAGGGTACTTCACAAGGTCAACTATATAACTGTGGCTTTGCTTTAATGACAAAATAATCATAGAAATGATTTATCAGGAAGTATGGGACAGCTATGGCCTACAACCAGACTCCTTTAACAATAAACCTTTAAGTAGAATATGTGTATACATGTCTACGCACACACACAAACACACACATACATTAGTTAATGACCTCCCTTGCAGGTCATCAGAGTAACATTTTCAGTTGTGCACATTTTCTTTGACCTCAGAACTTTTTTTTAAATAAAGAGAGAAATAATAGTATTCCAATCTCAAAAATATTATAATGCCAGTTGACAATTTTTGACATGATAACATAGTCTAAATGTCATACTATGGGTATCTTTAAATTTCCATAGCTATATTTAAATTCTTTACAATATGGATTTCTGTATTACACAGGTAAATTATATTTTAAATTTGATGTACAATAACTGTATTTCCTTACAACATGCACATCAGTATAATCCTTCATTTAGATAAGGTAAATTTATATATTATATATTTCATAAAATGTACAAATAATTTTATGTAATATATACAATTTTACATATATATGTCACTATGTGCTTAAGTAAGCTTATTAGTTCCTCTTCCAAAGTATGTGCACAATGTTTATAACGTTGTCATGTACATAATAATACTCTGGAAATTCATAGATTTGGTTTACTTTTAAGAAACAGTAAATCATGTATTTAAACAATATATAATTTGTTTATTAAGAACAGGGTCCATGAGAAGGAAACTGAAGAAAAAGGGAATATGAGATTTGTCTTTAAGGCAGATGTTACACATTCTGTTAATCATACACATTCATAATAAATCCTATTTATCCATTTAAATAAAACTTCCATTACGGAACACTGAGTGCTTAATAGGTGACTACACTGTTTATAATTTCCCAAATACTTTTCCATCACACCAGCATTTTTCATTATTGTGAACACAATGAATGGATTACAACCGAAGTTTTAAAAAATAAATTAGAATAAAAATTGAGTTCACTGCAGATAGTAATGAGAGGTGACAGCATGCTGGCAGCCCTCGCAGCCCTCACTCACTCTTGGCGCCTCCTCGGCCTTGGCGCCTACTCTGGCCACACTTGAGGAGCCCTTCGACCTGCGGCTGCACTGTGGGAGCCCCTTTTTGGGCTGGCCAAGGCTGGAGCCGGCTCCTTCAGCTTGCGGGGAGGTGTGGAGGGAGAGGGGCAGGCAGGAGCTGGGGCTGCGCACAGCGCTTGCGGGCCAGCGCGAGTTCCCGGTGGGCGTGGGCTCGGCGGGCCCCTCACTCAGAGCCGCGGGACCTGCCAGCCCCGAGCAGTGAGGGGCTTAGCACCTGGGCCAGCAGCTGCTGTGGTCGATTTCTCCCCCGGCCTTAGCTGCCTCCCTGCAGGGCAGGGCTCAGGACCTGCACCCTGCCATGCCTGAGCCTCCTCCGTCCCCCTCCCCATGGGTTCCTGCATGGCCAGAGCCTCCCCGAGGAGCGCTGCCCCCTTCTCCACCGTGCCTAGTCCCATCGACCACCCAAGGGCTGAGGAGTGCAGGAGCAGGGCGCGGGACTGGCAGGCAGCTCCACCTGCGGCCCCGGTGCGGGATCCATTGGGTGAAGCCAGCTGGGCTCCTGAGTCTAGTGGGGACTTGGAGAACCTTTATGTCTAGCTAAGGGATTGTGAATGCACCAATCGGCACTCTGTATCTAGCTCAAGGTTTGTAAATACACCAATCAGCACTCTGTGTCTAGCTCAGGGTTTGTAAATACACCAATTGACACTCTGTATCTAGCTAATCTAGTGGGGACATGGAGAACTTTTGTGTCTAGCTCAGGGATTGTAAACACACCAATCAGCACCCTGTCAAAACAGACCAATCAGCTCTCTGTAAAACAGACCAATCAGCAGGATGTGGGTGGGGCCAGATAAGAGAATAAAAGCAGGCTGCCCGAGCCAGCAGTGGCAATCCTCTCAGGTCCCCTTCCACACTGTGGAAGCTTTTTCACTCTTTGTGATAAATCTTGCTGCTGCTCACTCTTTTGGGTCCACATTGCCTTTATGAGCTGTAACAATCAATGCGAAGGTCTGCAGCTTCACTCCTGAAGCCAGCAAGACCACGAACCCACCAGAAGGAACGAACAACTCCAGACGCACTGCCTTAAGAGCTGTAACACTCACCGCGAAGGTCTGCAGCTTCACTCCCGAAGCCAGCGAGACCAGGAGCCCACCAGAAGGAAGAAACTCCAAACACATCCGAATATCAGAAGAAACAAACTCTGGACACGCCACCTTTAAAAACTGTAACACTCACCACGAGGGTCCGCGGCTTCATTCTTGAAGTCAGTGAGACCAAGAACCCCCCAATTCCGGACACAGTAATATAGTTTCACAGAACCTTTGCTTCACATGTTTATGTGCATATGGATCAAGGAAAATAAAGATATATAATATGCATCTACTAATTACTATAAATACAATTTAAAGTTTTGGAAATCACTATATTACATAAAATATAATTGAAGGTATGCCTATTCTTAAAGTGATATTCATTTAAGCTGATAAAATACAAAACATAATTCATACAGCAAAAATGCTTGATAGTTCCATATTATACCATTAATTTACTCCATCCCAAAGTTCTCAATAATGGTTGAAGAGAATGATCAATTTCATTATATTTTGGCTGCTATCAGTACCATAGTTGTTTCTATTTTATTCTATCTTTTTATTTTATTTCTCTCCTTTTTTCCTGCTATATTTTTTGACTGTATGTTTTCCAGGCCTAAAACCCATATATATCAAACATAAATTGACTTTCTTAAACATGATTTAACAATGTTAGTTTTTGCAGAATTCTTCCTCGTTAGTGGCTTTGCTCATTTATTTTTTTTTTTCAAAATCATCATTCTGGTGTTCCTCAGAGTGATGATCTGTAAAGTGGATTATCCTACAAGGGGAAGAAGAAAAGAAACAGGAAAGAAAGGAGAAAGAAAAGAATAAGAAAGATCAGCAGCAGCAGGGGGAGAAGGAAGTGAAAAGGAAGGAAAATGAATGTGGCTTGAGACTCATTAATACTACCTCATTTATAAAGATATATGCACACATATGTTTATTGTGGCACTGTCCACAGTAGCAAAGTCATGGAACCAACCCAAATGCCAATCAACATCAATGACAGACTGGATAAAGAAAATGTGCTAAATATACACAATGGAATACTATGAAGCCATAAAAAAGGATAGGTTCATGTCCTTTGCAGGGACATGGATGACACTGGAAACCATCATTCTCAGAAAACTAACACAAGAACAGAAACCCAAACACCTCATGTTCTCACTCGTAAGTGGGAGTTGAACAATGAGAACACATGGACACAGGGAGGGGAACATCACACACCAGGGCCTGTTGGGGGGTGGGGGGCTAGGGGAGGGATAGCATTAGGAGAAATACGTAATGTAGATGATGGGTTGATGGGTGCAGCAAACCACCATGGCGTGTGTATACCTATGTAACAAACCTGCACATTCTGCACATGTATCCCAGAACTTAAAGTATAATTAAAAAAAAGTACAGTTAAAAAACTTATCATTTCAATTGCTCCAGGTACTCTGAATACATTGTATCTCAAAAGTGCATAAACTTAAGAAATTCATATTGCTTAATAAGTTCTCAATATTAGTCAAGATTTACCACTTTATTGCAAGAATCTGTTACAAACTGAGCACTTAAGTTTAATATTTTCTGCTAAATACATTTTGATTAGCTTTGCAACTTCTATTTTAAAGTTGTTGTTTTACAAAGCAGCATTAATTTACTATATAATATTTTAGTACCAAGAGAAAATTAACGCAGCTAATTAATACCCAAGAATCACTGCACTGGGAAGATCTGGCTTATAATGAATAGTTATACAGAGTGAGAGTTACCATTTTATGAATAAGTTTGGCTCCAAAAGTTAATTTGTAATTTCATTGTTTGTAATTTGGAGTTAACACAGAAGTAATATCAGAAATAGCAGATTGCTAGGCCAGCCAACAAACATGTATTTGACCCAGAATGTTCTTAAACTATTGTAAATTTGCACAGATAAGAAATCGAAAACAATTCTGTTTTAATATTATTAACTATGCAAAAGAGAAAAACCAAGACAAAGAATAAAATGTGTTTGCTATTTCTACTGATGCAGTTGCTTCAATTACAGGAATGAAGATCTCCCTGAATTCTCCCCATATTCTGATATCTCTTAGCCAAGGACAGAAACTTTTGCTTGTTGTCTGCCTGTCTCCTTCTCTTGCCACATATGAAGTTCCGGCTTTATTCCTAAATAATCTCCAGCCAGCAAGAAATAACGAACTCAAAAACTAACTAGGATATAAATATAAAGTAGATGATGTACTGACTTTCATCTTTTTTCAGTTAGAGCTGGGGTCTGTGGCCCATGGGCCATATCTGGCTAGCCACTTGTTTTTGTAAATAAGGTTTCATTGGAACACAGCGGCACCCTTTTTTACATATTCCCTCTGGCTGCTTCTGTGCCAAAATGTGAGTGCTGGGGAATTCTAACACAGAAAACATGGCCTGCAGGATGTGAAATATTTATTACCTGGCCCTTTTCAGAAAAAGTTTGCCTTTCTCTGAGTTACAGTCTGTTTGGCTTCAAGTAAGAAAACTCAAAAAACTAGTAATTTGATTGTTGTTGTTTTTCCTTACACACACACACACACACACCCTACACACACACCCCCACACAAATGTATTCTACAGATGGGCATCTATGTTTTATTCAGTTGTTCAAGGCTATACAGATGATTCTCATGGCCTTTCCCTCTTGGCTGTTGCTGCTACCACACCTATGACATCTATATTGCGGCATGGAGAAGGAATAAGCAATGCGAATGCTCAGCACCTGAATTAGGAAAGCCAAAGTTTCCAGTAAGCTATGGAAATCTTCTGTTTGCATCTTATTCCCTAGGCTGGGAAATGGATTTTTAAAATGTAATCTGGCTGTACTGCTGCACTAAAAAATATGGTAAATAAGAAGAAAGAAGATATTAGGGAGAAAACTAGCAGTGTCTGTCACCTTCATCATCCCAATAGCAGAGGAGAGGGAGATCACACACTTAACTTGATTCTCCCTGCTCCCCAGTTAATTTCTTCTCTGAATATAGAACAGAAGAAACCAAAGGAATTGATTCAGATTTCCTAAGTGAAGGCACCAGATCATGGATAAAAATAATGTTTTTAAACTGGGGCTTGGAAGACTATATATGATAGCATTAAACCTTCATTTGTCAGGTTTAAAAGGTAGCAGGTGAGAAAAATATTTTTTGCTTGTATCTGGGAGTTTTCAGGTGAAGCTTTTCCCTCCAGGACCAGACAGCTGTGGAGACCCTGAACAGGGCAAAGGTTGCGTCTGAAACAGTCACATCCGGTGATTTAAACATATTTCCAGTGACAGAAGTCATTTACTAGATGGCATATATAATATGTTAACTAGCATGAATATAGTACTTTTTAAAAGACTTTCAATAACATTTAATTTCTCTGTTTTATAATTGAGAAATATTTATTTGAAAAAGTCTCAAATTGATTCACAGTACTAACAAGGAATACTCCACCATGCATATTTTTGGCACTTAGTATATGCTAAATAAACGAATAATGGTGTGACACTACAAATTACCTTCACTCTTTTATATAAGCCAGTGTCTTCCTATCTATTGGATTCTTCCTGAAAGATTTTGTGTAAACTCTCCCATGAAAATAAAATTGTTTCTCAAGCCTATAACTCTTTCCACCTGCTGGGGAATCTCTTTTCTTCACTGTATAGCCAAATATGAAAAAAATTGTCCATATTCTTTTTCTCCATTTCTCAACTCCTTTCATGTTTCAACCTTCTTTAGTCTGGCTTCGGTCCACCTCATTCCATTAAATGAGTTATTGATAAGGTTACTCACACTGAAGTGCTTTTCTCAATCCCTACTTTTCTTGGACTCTCAGTAGCATTAATATTTTTAATCTCTCTGTCCTTTTCTCCTTGGCTTTTGTGGCACATTCTCTTCTAGTTTTTCTCCTGTCTGGTTGATTCTTTTTTTTTTTTTAACTTTTATTTTTAGTTCAAGGGTACCTGTGCAGGTATGTTATATAGGTAAACTCGTGTCATGGGGGTTTGTTGTACAGATTATTTCATCACCAAGATATTAAGCCTAGTACCCATTAGTTATTTTTCCTGATCCTCTCCCTCCTTCCACCCTCCAACCTCCAAAATGCCCCAGTATGTGTTGTTCCCTCTGTGTGTCCATGTGTTCTCCTTATTTAGCTACCACTTTGTTTCCTTTGCAAACCCCTTCTCCTCAAGCAAGAGTCAAATTTCTTCAAGGCCATATGAAAAGATGTTCATCATTATTAGTTATTAGGAAAATACAGATTAAACCTACAGTAAGATATCACTTGACACCCAACTAGAATGACTATAATTTTAAAAAATCTAGATAATAACATGTGTTGGCAAGAATTTGAAAATAGAATTCTTTATACGTTGTTGGTAGAAATGCAAAGTGGTGCAGCCACTATGTAAAAGCAGTTTTTTTTAAAGAGTTAAATATAAAGTTACCATATGACCTAGTAATTCCACTCTTAGTTATCTACCCGCAAGAAATGAAAACACAGGTCCACACAAATATTTAAATGTGAATGTTCACAGCAATATTATTCATATAGCCCAAAAGTGGAAACAACATAAAGGTTCATAAACTAGCAAACAAATAAGGTAGAATACATACAAAGAAATAGAAGTGCTCAATACAAATGGATGGATAGGCTGTACAGTACAACATAGAAGTACCTCAAAAAATTAGGCTAGGTGAAAGAAGCCAGACGACATTGTATGATCCTGCTTATATGACATGTCTAGAACAGACAATTTTAGACACAAAGCAGTTTCGTGGTTGCCTAGGTCTAGGGGTGAGAATGGGAATACATGTAAATGGGCAGAAGGGATCTTATGGGGTTATGGAAATGTTCTAATACTGGATTGTGGTGATGCTTGCACAGCTCAGTACATTTATTAAAATCACTGAATTATACATTTGAACTGGGTGAATTTTATCATATGCAAATTATACTTAATAAAAACTGTTTAAAATACTTAATTTTGCATGACTTTTAGAATAAGAAACAAAATCATTACCATGACTTACTGTCTGAGCCCCATGTATTTTTCCAGCCTCACCATGCATAAATCTTCCCTCATTTTGTGCACCTTATACTCTTTTCTGTTGCTTGGCTCTGCCCAGCTGCTTTTCACACCAAGTTGAGATATCATTCTGACTGTTCTTTTCTTAAAGTGACTTTCCTAACTTCTCTGAGTAAAATCCATCTCTTATGTGTTCTAGTGGAATTAGCAAATATCTTTTTATAACACTTTACAGCTGAAAATTGGCATGCGTTTGTATGATCATTTGATGACTATTTGTTTTCCCCACTAGACTGCAAGTACCATAAAGTGATGGGGAGGCCACATTTGGTTTTGCTAACCAATATGTTCCCATTATTTATCACAGCATGCAACTTTAGACATATATTAAATTCTGTTTAAATGAATGAATAACAACTATCAATTATCTAAAATTTCCCTCTTGGATAGGAAGCTTTTTTTCCCCCCATATAAGTTCTAGGTTATTTATTTGCTCAAGTACTAAAATATCTTATAAAACTTTGTAAAATTGTACACACACCTCAAGATCACTTTATATTTTTAACTAGTGCTTGCAATGTATATTGCAATTCTCTAAGAGGGAAACATCATTAACTCTCAAATGACAGAGAAGCAAATTAGTGATACCATGTATAGTTAGAATAACAACTTGAAAGTCAGCAATAATTTTTTTGATAATTTTTAATATATCACTAAGAAATTTTGATAACAATGAATTACAACTATTAATTCATAGTTTATAAACAGATAGCTTTTAAAAGTATGTAGATCCTGGCTAACATGGTGAAATCCCGTCTCTACTAAAAATACAAAAAAAAAAATTAGCTGGGAGTGGTGGCGAGCACCTGTAGTCCCAGCTACTTGGGAGACTGAGGCAGGAGAATGGCGTGAACCTGGGAGGTGGGGCTTGCATTGGGCCAAGATCGCGCCACTGCACTGGAGCCTGGGTGACAGTGCAAGACTCCATCTCAAAAAAATAAAAAAATAAAAAAATAAGAAAGTATGTAGAATAATTTTGTTAAAAGTAATCTTAAGGTTTACCTTATTTTAAACAAATATTCCAAATGCAACCAAGTTCTCTCATTACATTTTGTCTGCATGCCTAAACAGGAATTTGGAGATTAAGTAGGACATATAAAATCATTGGTTACATATAACACACTTACTAATAAAACAAAGCCCATCAAAATGATAGTGTCAATTCCCTGAATTTTCATTTAAATGGTCATCACAATGAAGGATTTTAGTTTATATATTCCCTTTGCCTTAAAACCGTTTTGGATGGAAAAGCAAAATATGAACAAATTATTAAAGAACAATTTTTGTCTAAACTGATATACACTCTATTTTATACACAACATGCATCTTCTTAATATTTATTGTAATTTTCCATGTAATAAAATGCTTATAGTTCTTTATAGTATCTAAGCCAAGAGTTTCCTTTTAAACTTGTCATATATGTATATGTGCATAAATATACACATATGTAATGATTTTTGTATAAAAAGTTCTTCATATTTATAGTCAAAAGCAATTTTGACTATATATAGTAATATAAAATATGACATATAAAATATGAACAAACATATTTTGGTAATTCTCTGACTAGTGAATTCCATAATATGATAACTACAGAAAAGTATTATGTAACAAATGACTTGTACCTTCTTGGAAATATTTCTCATTTAATATAATGCTGTCATGGAAACTGTATTGGCTCATATTCTCTAAAAATGAATTCTATATATAATAATTGTACAAGATTGATAAGGTTTCAGCTCTCCATTCAAATGATAGGTAATACATACAAAATGGCATTGGAAATTTCTTCAACTCTTAGCAATTTGCCAGGTCTAATTCAGAGAGACTGGAATTAGTCCCTAGAAGTCTGATAACTTTCAGTTATCTAAAATCTTCCTCTGGAATAGAAGTAATTTCTCCTTTCTTTCCTCTCTCTCTCCTTTAATTTTAGCTTTAGGTTAATTATTCAGTTTTAGATCTCTTTTGCTTAAACCATTAGATTATATACAAACTATAACCAAGGTTTGGCAGTAATGTTTGCTTGCTGAGATGTGAAGCAACACAGGGTATGAGTACCTTCCATTACAGGACTTCTCACTAAACATAACAGCGAGGCTCTTACGAATGCCCAGTGTCCTAGCATTTTAAGATTTGTGGCCCAGCAAAAGTCACACAAATGACTCTTTAAAGGGAATTCTATCTAATAGTTAATATAAACTGGATTCTGCATTTCATCATCATCATCATAAAGCAAACAAAAAATACAGCTGCAAACAATGAATACAACATTGAAATAGATCCCAGTAGTTTATGTTGCAAATACTACTCTGTAGATGTTCACTTACTATTTGCAAATCACTGACCAAGAAATCCGAATTTTTCTTTAAAATGAGTAAATTTTATATTTTGATAGTAATAAAATTTGTTCAGTAGTGCGTGTCTCTGAAAACCCCCTTATGGATACATCCCTGATTTCTGTCCTAAACTGTCTTGGATGGCAAGCAAAAGCAATTGTGTAACATATTTTGTTTATAAAGTACTACATATCAATGAGAAATAAAAGGAATACTCTCTACAGTTTGTACTTACTAAAATTTTATTTTGAATGCAATGTTCCTTATGCAATGTTTTAAAATAAGAACTTTTGAATTTAACAGAATTCTAAGGCTTTTACGGTTTTTGTTTTTTTAGTCAAAGACCAAAGAGAATTATCATTAAGCGTCTAATCACACAGGCAAATAAAATATTTGACAAAAGCTGCAAAATTGATTAAACTTCCATCACTAAACAACAGATAAAAAATACTTTTCTGGGCCGGGCGCGGTGGCTCACGCCTGTAATCCCAGCACTTTGGGAGGCCGAGGCGGGCGGATCACGAGGTCAGGAGATCGAGACCATCCCGGCTAAAACGGTGAAACCCCGTCTCTACTAAAAATACAAAAAATTAGCCGGGCGTAGTGGCGGGCGCCTGTAGTCCCAGCTACTTGGGAGGCTGAGGCAGGAGAATGGCGTGAACCCGGGAGGCGGAGCTGGCAGTGAGCCGAGATCCCGCCACTGCACTCCAGCCTGGGCGACAGAGCGAGACTCCGTCTCAAAAAAAAAAAAAAAAAAAATACTTTTCTGGAACCAGATTACCAGGTTATGTGTACAAAAACAAGAATTATTTGTCAGTTGCTTCCCAATGATTCATTTGCAAAACTGTACATTACTCCTCAGATAAGGTGCAAAAGAACTTTAGCCACACACACATCAAAATATTCAAGGTATGTAACATACATGGAATATAATTCCATTATATTCCAAAGTTAGAAAAAATATTTTCAAATCAACATAAATTTTACTTCTCATATTTGGAATTAAACAATAACATATGATTGGGTACTGTCTCATAAGCATATATAGTTAACTACAGTAAACAGAAAGTGTATTACTGAAGACACTCCCCACACTCCTTCACAAGATTTGAAGTCATGCAAGAAAAGGCACAATCCCAGCTCTGTCACTTATTAGTTAAGTCATTTTGTCCAAGTTGCTAAATGCTCTCCCTCCCCTTGCCCCCAACTTATTACTTTTATTTTTTAATACTTATTTTTATTTTGCATATCAATAGGGAACATGACTTGGTAAATGCAGTCATAAATACAAAAGTATTCACATCTCTACTTTCAATGCTACCTAATATTTTAATTTTACCCTAGTATTTTAAATATCTCTGTCTAAACTGCTGATACCATTTAGAAAAACAATATTATTTATGGGAAACCTGATGATTTAGGAAGAGACAGGCAGAAATGCAGCATTCTTATTTGTATTGAAAAGTTGTGTTTTTTTTTGGGGGGGCGGTATTCAGTTAAGTTGCCACATGACAAAGCTGACCCAGATAAAAGGTTATGGAGTACTACTGTATTAGGCTATTAATATCTATTGCTTTAGATCAATATCCAAGAAATTCCCAACTGTTTTTACAAGCTCAGCATATGAAAGTAGGTATAAATAAATAAGTTACTTTACACTAACAATAACCTACAGAGAAGTAACAACATCATCAGACAACTTTTCATTTTGTAGTGTAAATATAATATAATGCTTACAACTTCTATGAATACTAGAGAGAAAGGCAAACAACCCATTGAACTACAGGTGATAAGACTGGAAGATAGTGATAGAGAGAGGTATTCAAGATAAATCTGCGCTCCTGCCAAGTGCTCCATTTCTAATTGTTTGCACTCATTTTGGAGAAGGTATAAACTCTTTAAATTCATGCTGATCTGTGGGCACAAAGAGGGTAAGAAAGATGTTATTCTTTTAAGTTAGAAGATGCTAGTAAATGATAGAGATGAGAAATAGTTTGAGGCCTTGTACAATTGAAAAGAAATGATAAATTCTTTTTTCTAATATTAAGTTAAAGATTTTTTAAAAATATTGACAAAATCATACACATTTAAGAATTAGATTATTAAAAATCAGGTAATACATAGAAAAGACTATGTAAACCCATATATATATATATAATTTTTTGTTATTCATAATTTAGTTTGCAAAATATTCAATCTATCATTTAATCTTATTTAGGTATTTTTAAAATTTAAAACAATCAAATTTTAGTGATAATTTAAGAATTATGTTTCAGAATATTTAGGTATTTAGTATTAAGAATTATTAATGAATTCTGAAATATTTTCCTTTGGTTTTAAAGTAAAAATATTTTGCAATATGAGATAAGCTTCATAAAGAGATGTGAAGTCATATAAGACATTTAGAAAAATTAGATATGAAGGTTTATCTGTCATGTTTTTATGGGTAGTGCTTGCTCCCAAGATCATCATTATGGAATCCTGTTTTTCTTTGACATTTGAAAGAAAATATCGTCATTCTCACGTCTTTTTAAAACCAATCTGTCGACACTGGTATCAAACAACTTTGAACTCATGTTGAGTTGTGTAACAAGTGACAATATCAACTCCCAAGACAACCAAAATGCTTGCTTCATGAATGCATTTTGACAGGTCAGATGCTAACTCGATACTTACAAATGTGCAGCAGCAATAAGTGAGCATCACAAACAGTAAAGAAAAGCTTTCAATTTCCTTGGAAGACATGTTTATGTTCTCTGGAAAAATGTTATATGTTAATTATGGTTCCTTTGTCTTGTCTTTGTTATGATTCAGCCCTGGCATTGTATTTTTCAATAGTAAAATGTTTGCAACGTGCTTATGGATAAAAACTGGCCCGCAGGTACTGCTGTTTGTAAATGACTCCCAAAGGCAACAAGACATCATTTTTCCCAGGTGGGCTACTCATTTACTTTCTGTTTTCTTTCTCCCGCTATTCATCTATGCTGACAAGTGTCAATTATGGACAGGAGATTTATGGGACGGGAAAGATAAAGCCCAATTTACAAATCATTTCCCGTGCAAGCAGACAGGTGCAATGACAAAGCTGGCTTGCTGTAATTGAATTTCTTGCTGCTATCTACTCAGTCACAAGAAGATGTCAACCTCAAGGATGTTAGCTATGGAAAAAGTCTTAATACACTATGATTTTGAATGTGAAGATGACAACATAGCCTGGGTTTTAACTACGGACTCTGAATAGAATATACTAAAATAAATTCTTTTTCATGTAATAAGGATTCTTCTTGCCCTTAAATGGGCAGTGTATCAGGGATGATGTGACAAGGTAGTCTAAATTTAAGTCCCATGACTATTACGGTTAAAATGTCTATTGTGATGTTTCAAAAAGCTGAATTTATATATAACTACTGATATACTAAACCTGAAGATGAATATTTACTGGAGAAATATATTTTTTGATGGGTAACTACCCTGATTTTTATTAAGGGGAATGTTCCTTAACACATTTTTTTAAGAAGAAAAAAATAGTCCATATGTCTAGTTTTTCTTTTTAACAAATAGAACAATGTCATAAATTGGTAGTTAAATGTTGTTTTATTTCAAAGAATATATAACATGTATAATCATATAAAGCTACAGTTGTATTAATTATAACATGCCAGCTCTCAAAATTAACTAATATATCTGTTTATTTTTACATGCTCAGCTTAAATCCAACTTTTTCAATGCATACATTAATAGATATAGATTCACATATGGCATTGATAAGTCACAATGTTGGAGGGTTATAGAAAGTAGAATAAAATCAGTACTTTTTCTTTGCTTGTATATATTTTACTGAATTTATCTGAAATATGTAATAGTTATATTAAAACCAGATTGGCTTGTTTAATGGTCTTCTCAAAGATTAATATTGAAAAGTTTTGAATTGACTTTTTCTAAGAAAAATTTCCAAATCATACAGTGTGTTTACTTTTTGAAACTGAGGGGGGAAGGGAGGAAGATGAAAAGGGAGAGAGAGAAAGAGATAAAGAGAACGAGGAAAGGAGGAAGGGAGAGAGGAACAAAAGGAGGGAGAATGGGGAGAGAGAGAGAGATCAACCATTTTGAACTTTGTGTGAATGTGTACACTAGAATTTCAGTAGTGAGATAATTTTCAGTTTGATAAATATTGCTACATTACTTGTAATCAGATTTACATATCTGCAGTTCAACCAGCCGTTTATGAAATTTTCCATTTTTTGTGTGTTTGGGATGACCTTTAATATGCTGCTATATTTTTAGTTAATATTTTACACTTCTTAATTATGTCTTAAGTAATTTTTCATTGCTCTCCATTTTGGTAGTTTCTGTAATTTTGTGTATTTAGTAGACATTCTTTTTCCTTCAGTTTCACACATTGTGATTAGATTGCTTGTCTCTGTCTTACGGTTTTGTGGTTTTCTTTTTAAATAAATATATAATAGATATTTCTTTATCTAATTATACTTAAATACATATGACAAATATATATGACGTTTTCTTCCACTGTGTGTCTTATATTTTTATTTTTATAGTCAATTTTATCAAGATTTTCTTTATAGACAGGGCTTTCTGGAATTCCTTCTCTAATCAAAGGTCATTAAGATAGTCTATATTTTCTTTGAAAGTGTTTATTTATTTTCCCTACATAATTGTCTTTACTCTATGGAACTGATTTTATCTATCATGTATACTACTATCTATTTTTGTCACCTCTGTTATATATATTTCCATTGTTTGATATTTCTGTCCTATTTATGCCACTTATCTTTCTGCTGACAATGCATTTTCTGAATTTCATGGCTTTATAATACATCCCCATAACTTCATCCTCAAATAATTTTAGCTATTCTTAGCCATTTTTGATCTTCCATTTAATTCAGCAGACACACACAAACATACCACTTCCTACTGGAAGTTATATCATATTCATATTTAATTAATAAATTAATTTAAGGCTTTATATATAATTAAAATATTAATACTTTCGAGCAATAAATATTTTATGCCTTTCTATATTTTGAGGTCTTCTTAATGCCATTTGAAAATGTTTTGTGGTTTTCTATATAAAACCTTATATATTACATAGCCCCTTATAGATTTAATGTTCCTCAGAGGAACATTTGTTTCACTTTGGTGGGAACACAGATCGCTGCAGCCATTATGGAAAACAATATGGAGTTCCTAGAGAGCTAAAAATCAGATATACCATATGACCCAGCAATCCCTCTTCTGGGACTATACCCAAAGGGAATGAAATTACCACCTTCTAAAAATATTTGTACTCCCTTATTATTGAAACATTATTTACAATAGTCAAGTCAAGGAAATAACCTAACTATCTGTTGGTGACTGGATAAACTATTCATAGCATATATATATAAAATATATAAATATATATATAAATATATATATATGTATATATATAATACACACACACACACAGAATATTATTCAGCATTAAACAAAACAAGGAGATACTGCCATTTGCCACCACATAGATGAACCTAGAGGATATTACGCTAGGAGAAATAAGCCAGGTACATAAAGAAAAATATTGCATAATCTTGCTTACACGTGGAATCTAAGAAAAAGTCAAATAAACAGAGATAGAGAATAAAATAATGGTTACCAGGGATAAGAAGGGGGTGAGGAGAAAATGGCATGATGCAGGTCAGAGGCTAGAAAGCAGCAGACACTGATACATACTTACATACATTGCCATTAAGGATATGAAAAACACTAAACCTTAAACCAAGTAGTAATTACTTTTTAAATGAGAAATTATTTTGCCTATCACATTGGCAACTTCATAGAATTCTAATATACAACATGAGAATAGTTAACAAAATTATACTGTGTTTGGATTCCTGCTAAATGAGTAGATTTTACCTGGTTTTGTCACAAAACCAAACAAACAGGTCACTATATGAAATGATGGCTATGTTAATTTGCTTCACTATAGTAATCATTTTATTATCTAAATGTATCCCACAACATCATGTTGTATAACTTAAATATATAAAATATAATTTACTTAAAAATAAAAATATAATCATGCTTTTTCATTGGTCACCATTCATTTCTCAACTGCATACTGCAGACTGAGAAAGGCACTCTATATAATTACCTAATTTAATCCTCAAAACTGTCTTCACAGAAGGCATTTTCATTATTTTACAGATAGGATACAGGTTAAAATAATTTAAGTAACTTTCCCAAGATCACCAAACTTGTAACATTAAAGCTGACAACTACAGTGTAGACTCTACATGAACTAGGCATAGCTTATTTTTCTTTCTGAGGAAAATGAATTTACTTATCTGCAGGATATTGTGTTTGGATCTCAAGTAAAGCATATTTTTAAACCAAAGTTCTTTTGGTCAATATAGTCATAAAGACACCAAACCACATTTCATAAGAATAAGTTTTGGTGTTCTGTCTCTACTTAAAAACTCCTTTTCTTTGATGTCTCATTTATTCCTTTGTTTATAATTGGTTTAGTTCTACTATCCCTGAGGTGCCTGCAATTCTGTATAGCCGTTCTAAACCAAAGAAGAATTTTGAGAAATGGAAGGTTCTTTGTAAGTGCCAGTTGCCACTGGTTATTAAAATAAAAGCTTTCTCATACACAACCTTGTCAGCAATAGCACTTAGTGACCTACAGGGCAGCTATTTACTAAAAACAGGAACTCAGTAATTGAGGTCCATATACACTATATCTCCAAGTCTGCACCAAGACATACTACAAAGGCTTGAGCTAATTGCTTTTCAAGCCACTGAAGTTTCTACTTCAGCATATATCTCTCTCCAAAATACCTGAGTTAGCCCTTATTTCCATTATAATATTTTATATGTAATTGCCCATTGATTAGAGACGGAATTATCCTTAGTTTGGGTAGAAACAAAAGTAGCCCTCAGTGCAGCAAACTTTAGCTTTAAATAAGTATCATTTCAGAGATTCTTTCAAAGACATGTTTGGTATATCAATATCTGTGAAACAGATATCTATGATAAGTAAAACAATGCCATATTAGCCACAAAATAAATAATAAAGAATTAAATAAGACCAGAAAGTCTAGAAACAGGCTTTAGTCTCTACCTGGCCTTGGAAAAAAATATTAGTCTTTCAAAATAATGTGGGAAGGATGCGTTTAATAATAAAGGTATCAACGTTACTGAATAGATTAGTGGGAGCCGACAGTCAGAAATACCTTCACATTGTAAACAAACCATAATCTTGATAAAGTAAATTTTAACATAAAATTTAAGCCATTTAACAAAAGATGAACACAGAAATAAATATTTTCCTAACTTTGTTATGGATAAGGCTTTCAAACATCATATCAGAGCCATAAACCATTAAGCAAAAGATAGACTCATAAAAATGCAGAGTAGCATATATAAAATTAAATGGCAACAAATCATGTTTATATTATATATACATATATGAACTGATATATGCAAAAGAGTTCACAGCCATATTTGATGAATAGTAGAGCATCCTAATTTTTAAATCAGTAAAGAGGCCTAAAGAGACACTGATACACACTACATACACTGCCAATAAGGATATGAAAAATACTAAGCCTTAAACCAAGTAGTAATCCCTTTTTAAATGAGAAATTATTTTGCCTATCACATTGGCAAAGATTGAAAACCAAAAGACAATGCTCAGTTTTGATAAGGGCTCTTGGTAGTTAAATATTTCTGGAGGTCAGTTTGGCTATCCACAATAAAATTCCAATACTTTCTACCTAAATAAGTCTATTTCTGAAAATTGATTATCAAAATAATCAAAGACAGGTATAGTGATTTCTAACTGTGTTTATTTGGATCTTCTCTCTTTTCTGCTTTATTAGTGGAATATCCAGCATTCATAAGGAACTTAAACAAATTTACAAGAGAAAAAAACATTAAAAAGTGGGCACAGGAAATGAACAGACGTTTTTCAAAAGACATACATATGGCCAACAAGCTTATGAAAAAAAGCTCAGCCGGGCGCGGTGGCTCAAGCCTGTAATCCCAGCACTTTGGGAGGCCGAGGCGGGCGGATCAAGAGGTCAGGAGATCGAGACCATCCTGGCTAACACAGTGAAACCTCATCTCTACTAAAAATACAAAAAATTAGCCGGGCGTGGTGGCGGGCGCCTGTAGTCCCAGCTACTCAGGAAGCTGAGGCAGGAGAATGGCGTGAACCCGGGAGGCGGAGCTTGCAGTGAGCCGAGATCGCGCCACTGCACTCTAGCCTGGGCGACAGAGCGAGACTCCGTCTCAAAAAAATAAAATAAAATAAAATAAAATAAAGAAAAAAAAAAGAAGAAAGAAAAAAAGCTCAATATCACTGATCATTAGAGAAATGCAAATGAAAACTACAATGAGATACCATCTCATACCAGTCAGTTTAGCTATTATTTAAAAAGACAGAAAATAAAAGATGCTGGCAAGGTTGCAGAAAAAAGAGAACATTTATACACTGTTGGTAGGAGTATAAATTAGTTCAACCATTGTGGAAAGCAGTGTGGTGATTCCTCAAAGAGCTAAAAACAGAACTACCATTCGACACAACAATCTCATTACTGGGTAGGTACCCAGAGGAATATAAATCTTTCTACCATAAAGACAAATGCCCACTGCAGCACTATTCACAATAGCAAAGATATGGAATCAACTTAAATGCCCATCAATGAAAGACTGGATAAAGAAAACGTGGTACATATACACCATGGAATACTATGCAGCCGTAAAAAAGAATGAGATCACGTCTTTTGCAGGAACTTGGATGGAGCTGGAGGACTTTATCCTTAGCAAAGTAGCAGAGGAACAGAAAAGTGAATACTACATGTTCTCACTTGTAAGTGGGAGCTAAAGGATGGGAACTCATGGACACAAATAGGGGAACAGAAGACTCTGGAGCCTACTTGAAGATGGATGGTGGGAAGAGGAAGAGGAACAGAATAAATAACTACTGGGTAGTAGGCTTAGTATCTGGGTGATGAAATAATCTGTACAACAAACCCCTGTCACACACGAGTTTATCTACATAACAAACCTGCGCATGTATCCCTGAACTGAAAGTTTTTTTAAAAAAAGATAGGTATAGTGATTTAAACACAGATTGTTTCTCACGTGAGAAGCACCAGTAACAACTGCTTAAATATACATGATTAAAATAATAGTACTACAATCATAGAACAGGATTCAGTGATAGTTGAAATCATGCATTCAGATAATAGCTAGAAACATTTGTGGCAACATGCTGATGACTTTGTTGAATGAAAATGAGACAACATATTCAGTATGATCTAAATTTTATCAAAAATAATTAACTACATATGTAAAAATACAGGCATAGTAAAGAGCCATACAGAACACACCTGGAGAAATGTAAGAAATACATGCAGTAAGATTTAGGACAATTTTTATTTTCTTACAATTTTTTATAATTTTATGAATTTCTGGACATGTATAATTTTTTAAAAAGAATTATACATGAATACAATAATAAACAGTCCTCGATGTTTAGTCAAATTTTGCTAACACTTAATCTGTAATTTTTAAAGCTATAACCCAAATAACTATGAAAATTCTCCCAATTGACCTTCATATTTTAATAATGCATTCAATAAATATTTCAGATTTATTTAGATATGTTAGATAACATAAGGGGAATATTGTTTAATTTGTTTTTAAAAGTCTCTTAATTTGTTCTGTTGCATGAAACAAATATACAGTCATGCATTCCTTAACGATGGGAATACATTCTGAATAATGCATCATTCGGTTATTTCATCATTATGCAAACATCGAGTGTACTTACACAAACTGAGATAGTACAGCCTACTACACACCTAGGCTATGAGGCCTACCACTTCTAGGCTACAAACCTGCATAGTATGTTACTGTACTGAATACTGTAGGCAATTGTAACACAAAGGTAAGTATTTGTGTATCTAAACATATGTAAACACAGAAAAGGCAGAGTAAACATATGGTATTATAATCTTATGGGCCAGCTGTTGTGTATGTCGTCTGTCCTTGACCAAAATGTCATTATGTAGCATATGACTGTATCTCTCATACAGGTGATGAAGTGACCCTCAGAATTTAAATATCTGGCCACAGTAAATATATTATCTACTCTGCTCTAAAATGTATTTTCTTTTAAGTTTCTTTTTTTTAAAATTGATATCTCATATTTGTACATATTTTGAGGGTACATGTAATACTTTGATACAAGTACAAAATGTGTAATGATCAAATAAGAGTAATTGAGATAGATATCTATTACTTAAAATATTTTTGTGTTGGAAACATGACAGTTCTCTTCTAGCTAATTTGAAATATACAAGAAATTTAAAATATATTTTCTGCTGTAAAAAACTGATCTTACAATTTGGGAAACGTAGACAACATTTGAAGGGTAAAATCTGTATAAATCCATTCAAAACAAAGTTGTTAAATACTTTATAAATGTTTATATAATAAATTTAATAGCGATTTTTTTACAGACAAATAGAAACCACTTCAAATCATATACTCTAGTAAAAATGTCAACATTATCACTAGCTCCCAATAATAGCAACTGTCTGTCATCTCCACATCACCAAAAGTGATGACAGAGGAGCCAAAGTTCTATGTAATCCTGGGAAAACCCTTGCCTCTCCCTTGCTCCCTATACTTACAGCATAGTGAATGTGATCTTTCTCAAAGACAATCTAGAATAATCCCTCCATGTCTTTTGTCCTTGATACATCAGTTACCACAACTACCCAGTACTCCCAAGTCATTGCTCGACATCTGAATTATCATCTCCACACAAATCTGCACCCATAACAGTATAACCACATGCCTTACTCTATCCTTAGTCATCAGCAAAATCTTCACCATCTTCTTCAACGTTCCCTATCCTTTCTTGTTCTAACATCCTCACAGAATCTTGCTTACTTCTGAGAGCACATAGCTTCTCTGGAAGCCCTCTTAAGTAGGGTTGGTTGTTCTTCCACCCTTACCGTCACTGGGCCGGAAAGTGTGTAATTCTCCTTGCTCTTCTCTTCTATAACCTTGAAAGTCTTAACTACTTCTTCACTTCCATATAAAATCCCATAGCTATAATGCTTATGTCAACTGATTATGTGACTTCTGTCCCTCCAAGCTGTTGCTATTCAGACTCCAGGTCAGTCTTTCTCACTCCTTGAAGATTTTAGTCCCTAGCTCACTGACATTTTTACTGATACTACTCCTGTCATAATATTTATGAATATCAAATTCCAGGTAAATAATTCTTACTGAACTATGACTCCTGGGTTCTTTGACCTCTCGTTCTTCAGTGTTCATGTCTCCAAATACTTCAACCGTCCCCTCCCATGGCATAGCCTAGACCTCATCATTACTCTTTTTATACTTAACAATTTCCAGGGTGCCACTCTCTATTACTTCCTATCATTCTCACCTCACTCCCTCTGGTACCTGGACTGTTAGAATTCTTCAACTGCATTGGCGCATATAATTCTCTGAGATGTAGACTGCTCTACCTTTTATCTCTACTTGTAAATTATATAAATCTGGATGCAAGAACAGCAACATATATTTGAAACAGAGATAATTTAATTTATGAAGTTGTTTATACAGATGTTAGAAGAGCTGACAAGCCTCAGGCAAGAGAAGATGTTTTTGCTATCCTTTCACTGGAGAGGGAAAAGGAGAAGGCAGAGTTACTGGACAGGAATAAATGAGGACAAACTGGAACAGCATGGAGGGACCTGGAGTCATGGAAGAGAAATAGTTGCCGATGGAAACCACACTTAAAGCACAGAAAAAAGGGAGAAATACTCGCCTTTTTGCCTTCTTATGCCTTCCAAGCTCTAGCCAGTTCTTAATAGGGGCCACATGCTGTCAAAAGTTAGCTGATAAGGTAGCCTGGGAAACACTACCTGCAGGGGTAAAGACCTGCCATACACATAGAGCAAGGGAATCAAGAAGAATGGATCAGGAATCACAAGGCCATGTACTGTGTAGGCATACAACAGTTGCCTCACACTGAGCACATGAAAAACCTAACTGCTGATGTTTGCCCGTGATCCTACTTTGCTCACAATTAGTGCTGTCTCAGTGGAAACTTCATCTTTACATTTGCTCAGACCAGAGAATGTGAAGTTATACTGAACACTCCTCTGTCTATTACACCAAATCCTGCTGGCTCAATATTCAAAATACAGCCAGTGTTAAGCACTTCTCACTACATTAAAAGACAGCACTGTACCTTCTCATAGCTTGCTAACCTATCTCCTTACTTCTGTGTTTGCCTGTTTCAGTCTCGTTCCAGAAGAGTCTAAGAAGCTTACATTCTAATAGGGGTGGGAAGGGGGTAGATAGAAAATAAGGCAAATAAATAAAATATATGCTCTGTTAATAGTAAGAAGTGCTAAAGAGAAAAAAAATCAAGCTGGATGTAGAGATGGGAATGTTTGTTGATGGCTGCATTTTTAGATCTAGCATACATATTACCTTAAGGAGTACATCTTACCATACATTCATTTCTAAGAAACAACATGGAAATAAATTAAGACAAAGGCATACACACAATCATATGGATCAGCATAGTATCTGCTCTGCGTTTTAAAATTAAATTAATTAAGCTTTTACTTGAGGTCTTAAATGTAATTTCATCGGTAGATAGGTGATTTATGATGCTATAAAATGATAGGTGAAGTTATATTTCTGAAGTATTGAAAAGGAAATCAAGGCAATGCTGTTTATTCTGTGAATGTCCAAGGAACTCCACCTATCGTCTATAAGCCACCTTTCTCCATGAATTTTTCCCCGATTTTTCTTTGATTGAATTGTCAGGTATTATCTGTGGAAACCTTTCTTCTATTACCTGACTAGCACTTAATATGCTTCTCACATGCTGCAAGACATAAATGTCTGAGAAATGAATAGGAGAAAGGTGCTTTTGCATCTGTTGTTAAAGACAGCCTTCACTGCACTCAAACGAAGAGGACATTGGACATTTCTCTGACTAAATCACAGGATCTGCTAAAACAAATTGTAAAGGAATAGTAGGCATTCTAGAATGGATTGGCTGTCATGAATAATTACTATACTTGTAGTATAGTAATTATACTACAAGTATATACTTGTAGTATACATTGAGCAAGTATATACTTGTAGTATACACTGAGCAAGTGTACACTTGCTCAGATTTTGAAAGACAATACAGATGAACTTGATTATTTGTGATTTATTCTCAGTTCTAGATTGAAGACAGGAAGGCAGCTTCTATTGGACTGTTTGTATTTACAAGGTAAACTAACGGAGTTGTGCAGAAAAGATTTCTGGAGCTGCCAATGCTGGCAGCAATGCTTATTTTATCTGTTCTGCTCCAGCCTCCCAAACCAAATCAATAATTCTCTACTGAGTGCCACTATACCACCTACTTTATTCTAGATGCTGTAGGGAATATAAAAAGATTGATTATATCTCATGTCCTTGACTAAAAGGAGCATATAATCAGGTTAGGAAAGTAAGAAGTCAGTCCGGGAAATTAGATAAAAATGATTGCCTTAATGAAGGCCATTGTTTTATAGGAGGAGAATTCTTTCAACCCAGAGTTAGATTATGTCACTCCTCTGCTGAAATTCTCCAGTGGCTTCTCACTTGCCTCAGTACAATAGCCCAACTCCTGAGAGTATTTACATGAATTCACTGCCTACTCTCTTTCTCTTGCTTTTTCAACATTGGTTTCCTTACCATTACCAGAACTCAAAAGACATGCCTCAGCCTCATGGCTCACAGATGGTGTTCTGTTTGGAAGATTCTTTCCTTAGATATGTACATGGTTTGCTTCCTTTCCTCTTCTACATTATGAAATATCACCCTCTTACTGTTACTTAAAATTGTCAATCAACCCCTGCCTCACCACCCCATTTCTACTTCCATTCCTGTTTATCACCTTCTAAAATACAATGTAGATTATTAATTTATTTTGTTGTCTGCCCCACCTCACTAGAATGTAAGCTTTATAAGCTTTTATATTAGCAATTTTTATGTGTTTTTTTTTGTCCACAACTATTTCTATAGCTTCCCTATTACTTCCTGGTACAAAATATATGTATGTAGAATCAATGCACAACTGAAAGTGTTCATGGAAGGAAAGCATGAGTTAGACCTTATAGGATGGGGAAAGATTTGATTAAGCAGGGTGAACAGTAAAAGACCAAAATAAAAGTAAAAGATGGTATTAGTGAAAGGAGAAATTATGAAAGTAAAAGTCCAAAAAAAAAAAGTAAGAGGCTGAAGCAGTTCTGCTATCCAGAATTCAGTGAATTAAAATTTCTTAATAATATTATGAATCCCTATAGGGGTTATAAATCATTTTTTAAAAGAAATCATTCCTCCTACATTTCCTCTATAAACATTAAAAGCCACTCAGGCAATTCCAACCTAAAGAGCCTGTGTGAGAAAGAAATATTTCCTGGTAACCAAAGAAGCAAAATACATACAATTAAAGTATGTATTTACCAACAACTAGTGACTCTGAGTGTGGCTTTCTTTTTCATTCTTCAATAAAATTTAATGTTTATTTAGACTTACTAGACATATTGAGGTTACTGTGAAAATAATACAGACTAAACTACCTAGTAAATGAAAACCATAAGTAATTAATTTATTTCATTACCTACGGGAATAGATTTTTTTGTTTGCTACTGTCAATACCTCTACTAGAGCCACCTTTGCAAACTTATCTGTCAGAAGAAAATAAAAAAAATTTAAGTTTCTTCTTTGTTGTCATATAACCTGCATGGTCACACAGATATAATAGTATTTTATATAGTCACTATTATTCTCATTAAGAGATATTCAGTACTTACCTAGAAACTCCTGGCTTTAAAATAAATCAGTCTATACAATGGATATCATAATAAAATATCGGAATATAATTTATTTTGGTCTAAAAAGCAGAAATACTTGTTAATATTTTTACATAAAAAAGGGCAGTGTGAAAATCACTATTTATGCAAGAATCATACTTACTTGAACTAAATTAGTCCAAACATGTCTCTAACTCTAGATGGATTTTTTAAAATATAATTTGACTGCAGAATTTTGTAAGTGGCCTACAATTTTTCTCTGCTTTTATAAAGTCTCCCGAAATCCCAGTTGAATGACTTTTTATTTTGCTGATAGGCCAGAGAATGTATTGAGAAGTTTACATTTTATCTCACTTAATATGATAAGGGTACAATAATGTTAGCTTCTGTTGGGGTGAAAATATAAAAAAATGTCCTCAGGGAATTTGCCAAGAATCATGTTTGCACAAAGTACTAAAAAGTTTTAGGAATATATTTCTTAAATATCCAAATGGATTAATTAAAGCAAATAATTTCTTTTGAACTAGCCAATCCCACAAATGTGTGTGCATGGCACAGTATGATGGACTTAAAAATGACAAAACCAAAGGACTCAGAGTAAAACAAAGACCTAAATAAAGCTAGGTCATATTTCATGTAAACTATGTTATACTGAACTAAATATACATTTTAATGTAAAACAAATTCCAATGTTTAATAAAATGTTCAGTTTAAGTCAGTTGCTTTCACTTTTCCTGATTTCTAAACTAAATCCCATGTGCAGTTCAAATCAATATTTATCATGAAATGTGTAAATAATACATCTCCTATAAAAATAATCAAATTAACTTTCCAAAGCATTAGACAATCATCCCTCAGTTTTATTTTCACTATGCTACAATTTGAACCGAATTATGACCTATTGTAAGAATGCTTAGTTTTGGTCATCATGTGAAATAAATCAATTCCCTCTAGAAGGAGAAAAAAACTCTCTTTATGAAGATGGATCAAATAAATTCTACATTTTAGTAGCAATTATAATTAATTTTAACAGAAAATATCATAGGGGATTGACACATTTAGAATTGCTCATATCTCCATTAAATCATAATATAATACTATTGCATAAAAGAAGTATAATTATAATATTTGAATACAGGACTTAAACATAACTGCTAATAAAAATAAATTCAGTCTATAAATTATCAAACCCATCTAAACTGCATCTCTTTATAAAGAATATTTAAATAATGATACCAATTATTGCATCAACCAAATGTTAGATATTCTGTATTTTTTTAGAAAATCAACCAATGTGACAATATGTGGTACCAAAAAGAAAAAAAAATTCACCATGATAGCAAACATAAATACAAAATTCTAGTTAAAAGACACTGTCCACATCATTTAACAGAAATAAATGAAAGATAAGAAAGCTTTGAATGTATTTAGGTAAAAGTTGTTCTGACACTGATAACACATTGAATAAGCCCTATGCAGTGATTTCTAGCTTACTCTGGGCTAAACCATTTCCACAATCCTTTAAAGAATAGGTATTGTGGAAAATAAAAAGAAGGATGTAATCCCACTTTTTTCTTCCCAAAATAGACAGATTCTAAGGATTGAATCTATTCAATGAAAACTAAAAAATAATTTCTAAGTTTTACACTGTAAAGCATGCAATTCTGAGCCAAGTTTATTTGCACTCCCCTTAGGCTGACTAATACAGATTAAATCTTATGACATTCAGATTAAGTAGTTAGTAGACAGTGGAAAAAATAAATATGGTAAGATATGTATGCACATATATTACATATTCATACAGACCAATCATTATGCTTATGTTTTAATTCCCTAATGAGTGGATAAACATGTACTGTCCTCTTCATTTTGAGGATAGTACTACTACTCATCCATACGTTGAGCTTGGGAGAAACCAGGAAGATTTAGTAATAATGAGAGTAACTTCTATGGTTACTCAAAAATAGTGAAAGTAGTAAACAATATCTACTTAGTTCTCAAATATCAAGACTTTTTCCCGATGAATATGGATTTGTGCACTTTTGTTCAGATGTCATCACTATCAGAATAAAGAGAGAATATGATCCTGAGTTGCTGTGCTCTTGGTGCAGGGTGTAGGCTGGGAGAAATGCTAGTGTGCAGAAAAAGCTAACAATAATCAGTCACCGAAAACTGGCACTGTCCAAACAGAAAGCATATTCTTTGTATCTCATGAGATGCTGACCATTTTTAATCTTTTGAGGTTTAATCACTCGAGTGACATGCTTACATGATAATTCAAACTGTCTCAGGCTCTAACTGTCAGCATCCCCTCTTGCTCGGGATACTAGGATTTTTTCTCTGTGGTTTGATGATTGGAGTACACAGGCTTTTCAACACCTGCTCTGGCTACTGTAGAATAGATTACATTATACCAAAGGAAAATATATCTTATTATTTTTTGCTGTTACAATTAGAAGCACTACTTTATTTATTTACTTTTTTTAGAGTTTGATCTAAAAGCCATTAGGAATGATATCTTTAAACATGTGGTGTGTATGTAGGACTGGGAAATGTTGGACCTAAATTTCTCTGCTGTAAGATTCACTTAATATGTTAGTATATCCCTTTCTGAGATGTACACAGAAAGGAAACAACATCTTACTTACGTGTTTATTTTCAAAGAAAAGATATATTTGAAATTTATTTGTTAAAAGATGTTTGAATTATTTATAAATAATTGTCAAACTAGTTGGGACTTTTAAAATCTACACATAGGTATTCAACTATATAGTTAAGAGTTAATAGCTAGTTAGGAATATACTAACATACTAAGTGAATCCACAGCAGAGAAATGTAGGTTCAACATTTCCCAGTCCTATATAAATACCACATTTTTAAAGGCATCATTCCTAATGGCTTTTAGATTAGGGCTCTAACCTCTGCACATAGGTGTTAAGCTATATAGTTAAGATAGCTAGCTGACTACCTATGTGTAGATTTTAAAAGCCCCAACTAGTTTGACAATTACTTACAAATAATTCAAACTTTTTTTTTTTTTTTAAACTACAGAGTCTTGCTCTGTCGCCCAGGCTGGAGTGCAATGGCATGATCTCCGCTCACTGCAACCTCCACCTCCCGGGTTCAAGTGATTCTCCTTCCTCAGCCTCCTGAGTAGCTGGGATTACAGGCATGTGTCACCATGCCCAGCTATTTGTTTTGTATTTAGTAGAGACAGGGTTTCACCATGTTTGTGGGGCTGGTCTCAAACTCCTGACTTCAGGTGATCTGCCCGCCTTAGCCTCCCAAAGGGCTGGGATTGCAGGCGTGAGCCACCGCACCCAGCCTCAAACATCTTTTAACAAATACATTTCAGAGATGTCTTTTCTTTTAAAAGCAGCATATAAATAAGACTTTATTTCTGAAATTCTTCATGTTATGAAGGCTACTTTCAAAATGTTCTATACATATATTTTACCATATGAAATGCTGATATGAAGAAATTATTGTAGTCATCCAAGTTCTAAAATATTTTTGGGCACAATTTTTTTTTCAGCACTTATAATCATAATTAAAAAGCTCAACTTGATATAAAATAATGACTTATAAAGACATTTTCATTTTTAATTAAACATTGCAAAAAGTATCTGTTGCCCAATAAGGCTAATTAAAATATCTTTATTACATATGCTATTGAAATAAATCTATTTTTTGAATTTCATAAACTGTGATCCTATATAATTCAAGATAATTATATAAGAAAATAAATTCATACCCATTCAAATATACCATTATAAAATATTTTATCATAAAACATTCTATACTTAAGATCAACATATGTGAAGAACAAAATGAATATTCACAGAGACTAGCAAGTAAAAGCATTAACATAACTTCTGATGTTAAAGGCCATGAGTAGTTGCACAATTAAATGAACAATATCGTTAAGTATTCTGTTAATGCTCTAATATCAGAAAATAACATTTTTTAATTTTGACTTTTTAAAATGGCAAATAAAGAAAGTGAGATCAGAAGCATGGAGAATTAATTTTTAAGAGGTGGATTTTAATCACTTTAGTCATTTTAGATTTGGTTCACAGTCCTTAATTTCTTGACAGTTTAATTGCTTTATCAGGCATCTAGCAAGTACATTTTAAAAGAATGAAGACTAAAAAGAGGTATGTTTTTGAACAGTCTTCAATAAAAATGAATTATTTAAATTAACTTAATTTTCATGGTGCTAAAAGGTTTTGGAATAAATTACTTGGCCTATGACATGAGTCAGGTTCATAGAAACTTTGGTTATGACTTCAATGGAGAAAGTTGTACGGCCACCCCCAACAAGTGATTTTTCAGTTATATTGTGATACGCACTGAAAATTAAATAAAAATAAGCAATGGAAAAATCCCCCAATAGATGACATCAATGTTTTTACACAATGTTTCACTTTATAGTTTCACAAAACTTAAAAAACAAAACAAAGGCTGGGTGCGGTGGCTCACGCCTGTAATCCTAGCACTTTGGGAGTCCAAGTTGCGTGGATGATGAGGTCTGGAGTTCAAGACCAGCCTGGCCAAGATGGTGAAATTGCGTCTCTATTAAAAATACAGAAGTTAGCCGGGCGTGGTGGCGGGCGCCTGTAATCCCAGCTACTTGGGAGGCTGAGGCAGAAAATTGCTTGAACCCGGGGGATGGAGGTTGCAGTGAGCAGAGATCACACCACTGCATTCCAGCCTATGACACAGCGAGACTCCGTCTCAAAAAAAAAAAAAAAGTTACGTTTACATTAACATTATACTGTAGTCCATTAAGTGGCAACAGCATTATATCTAAAATCTTCATTAAAAAATACTTCATTACTAAAAACTGCTAATCCTCTGAACCTTCAGCGAGTCATAATATTTTTGCTGATGAGGGGGTTTGCCTTGATGTTGATGGCTACTGGATGATCAGGTAGCAGCTGAAGGTTGGGGTGGCTGTCATAATTTCTTAAAACAACAGTGATGTTTGCTGCATCAATTGACACTTCCTTTTGTGAAACATGTCTCTCTGGCACGTGATGCTGTATTTTTTTTTGTTTTGTTTTTTGAGTGTCTTGCTACAGTGGTGTGATCACAGCTCACTGCAACCTTGACCTCCTGGGTTCAAGTGATCCTCCCACATCAGTCTCCCAAGTGGTTGGGACTACAGGCATGTGCATCATGCCCAGCTATTTTTTTTTTTTTTTTTTTTTTTTTTTACAGAGATTGTAACATCTCACGATGTTACTCAGGTTGGTCTTGAACTCCTGGCTGACATGATCCAACAGCCTCAGGCTCCCAAAGTGCTGGGATTACAGGCATGAGCCTGGCCTGTGATGCTGTTTGATAACAATTTACCCACAGCAGAAGTTCTTTCAAAATTAAAGTCAACCTTCTCAAACCTTGCCACTGCTTTATCAGCTAAGTTTATGTAAGTAATATTTTAAGTCCTTCTTTGTCATTTCAACAATATTCAAAGAGTCTCCATGAAGACAATATTTCTTCTCAAGAAACCACTTTCTTTGCCCAACCATAAGAAGCAGCTCCTCATCCATTGCAGTTTTATCTTGAGATTGTGGCAATTCAGTCATATCTTCAGCATCTACTTCTAATTCTAGTTCTCTTGCAATTTTCACCACATCTGCAGTTACTTCTTCAACTGAAGTCTTGAACCCCTCACCATCATCCACAAGGGTTGGAATCAACTTCTCCTAACTCCTATTGATGTTGAAAATTTGACCTCCTCCCATGAATCATGAACGTCCTTAATGGCATACGGAATGGTGAATCCTTTCCAGAAAAGTTTTCAATTTACCTTGCCCAGATCTATCAAAGGAATCACTATCTATTGCAGCTATAGTCTTAGGAAATGTATTTATTAAAAAAGACTTGAAAGGTGAAATTACTCTTTAATCTATGGGCTGCAGAATAAATATCATTTTAGCAGGCATGACAATAATATTAATCTCCTGTATCTCCATTGGAGCTCTTGGGTAACCAGGTGCATTGCCAATCAGCAGTAATATATTAAAAGGCATTTCCTCCCCTAAGCAGTAAGTCTCAACAGAGGGCTTAAAACATTCAGTAAGCCATGCTGTAAACATATGTGCTGTTATCAAGGCTTCATTGATACACTAATAGAACACAGACAGAGTAAATTTAACATAATTTAAGGGCCCTAAGATTTCTGGATGTTAAATGAGCAGTATCTCCAACTCCAATTCACCAGGTGCATTTAGCCCTTAAAAAGAGAGTCAGCCTCTCCTCTGAATCTCTGAATCCAGACATTGACTTCTCCTTTCCAGATACCAAGTTCTAGATGGCATCATTTTCCAATATAAGGCTGTTTCATCTACACTGAAAATTTGTTCTTTAGAGTGGTCACCTTCATCAATTATCTTAGCTAGACCTTTTAGATAGCTAGCTGTAGTTTCTATATCAACACTTGCTTCATCTTGCACTTTCATGTTATGGAGATGGCTCCTTTTTTTTTAAGTCTCACGAACCTACCCTTGCTAGCATCTAACTTGCCTTCTGAGATTCCTCATCTCTCTTAGCCCTCATTAACTTGAAGAGACCTATGCCTTTGCTCTTGATTATATTTTGGACTAAGAAAATGTTATGGCTGGTTTGATCTTAGACCACTAAAACTTTCTCCATATCAGCAATAAGGCTGTTTCACTCTCTTATCATTCGTGTATTCACTGAAGTAGCACTTTTCATTTCTTTCAAGAACTTTTCCTTTGAATTCACAACTTGGCTAATGGTATGGTGCAAGAGGTCTAGCTTTCGGCCTATCTCAGCTTTCCACATGCCTTCCTCACTGAGTTTAATTATTTCTAGCTTTTGATTTAAAGTGAGAGACCTGCAGCTCTTTCTTGCACTTGAACACTTAGAAGCACTTTAGAGTTATTAAATGGCTTAATTTTAATATTATTCTGTCTCAAGGAATAGGAAAGCCCAAGGAGAGGGAGTGAGATAGGGAAATAGTTGGTGGAGCAGTTGGAACACACACAGCATTTATCAATTAAGTTTGCTATCTTATAGTCTTCTACAGGCATGGCTTATGGTGCTCCCAGACAATTACAGTAGTAACATCAAAGATTTCTGATCACAGATCACTATGAAAATTATAATAATAATAAAAAAAATGAAATAAATTGTGACACAGAGACACAACGTAAGCACATGCTGTTGGAAAACTGATGCTGATAGACTAGCTCAATGCAGGACTGCTACAGCCTTCAATTCGTAAAAAATGCGATATCTGCAAAACAGAATAAAACCAGGTATGTCTGTAGTGGTAGAGAGTTGGAGACTATCTAAATATCCTTCAGATATTAATATTATAAAAACACTGGTGGTAATGTTTTCAAAAAGATTTCATTTCATGAGAAAATGATGCTATGTGGTATTGAGGAAAAAGTAGCATATAAGATGAAATATATACTATAGATGAAGAGTTGGGAAAATTTTAATAGCTGGTGATTATTTTCTTTCTTGTCTTTCTATTTTGCATATCTGGATTTCCCATTTTCTTCAGGAAACACTTAACTGCTTTTATAGCCAGAAACAATATATGTTTTAAAAGAATCTCATTCATATAGCAAAATATCCTTATTTGGTATAAAAAAGATACAAACAAAATTAAATATGGATAACTAAGCAGAATAAAATACATTCTATTTTCAAAACAATTACTAAATAAAAAATTAAGATTGTTAAATTAGACCCAAGGCATTTTTTCATATGATTTCTGATTTAAAAAAATAAAAATAAGTAAGTATTAATCATTAAGCTTAAGTTTTCTTAAAAGATATGGAACAAGCAATATAAAGACTCAAGCAGAAGTTTCTTTACCCTGTAATGAGGTGATGATTAAGAAATAGGACCAGACTAAGGAAGGTGGTCTTAGGCTAGGAAGGAGAAAAATCTGGGGCAACAGTACCATGGCCTAGTACTAACTGGTAGACAGATGTAAGATGGTAGCAAATTCATTAGGAATAATGAGTTTAGAGACGATGTTTCTCTTCTTTCTCCTCCTTTATCTTTTCTACTCCTGTGGTATATTTTATAATTTCACTCATTTCATCTTTCTTCTCGTTTTCAATTCTTCTATGTCTTACAGTCCACAGTCTTTTCTCCTGTTTTTTTTTCTGTTTCATTAACTTCCTTATCCTTCTCTTCATTCATTTATTTCAATTGCCTTGTTTTTATAAGGTATTAGTTCTACTTAACAATAGCTGTCTCAAAATTACATTAGAAAATAAATGTCAAGAAGTTTCAGTTTGGCTAAACTGCTTTTTTTCTTCTAAGAACTGTTATATGGCAAAAACCCTATATAATACACCCATTACCACAGCTCTTATTATATTGTCTAACATTAATCATTTATGTATTATTTAACTAGCATAGTAATCATCCTTATTACTATTGTGATTACAACTGCAGAGATGAAGAATCTCAGGCTTGGATGAGTATTTAACAAAGTAGCATAAACATATTTAACTGCAAAAAAGCTGACCCTTTCACTGACAGGTCCAACCTCCATATCTGTTTTAACTTGCCTCACAATCCTTAAGTGAAGCATACATCTACTGACCATTTGCAGAGCTCTTAGTTCAACGAAGAGCAACAAGACCACCTTACAGACAGGACCTACAACGATGACCAAACATGAAAGCCATATGAGTAGGTGTTATTTGAAGAATACAACCAATTTTGTGGGAATATAAAAAAATCAAATGTTTACTCAAGAAAACTGAACTTAGATTTAACTGATAATTGTCTGGAATTGAACTATGAATTTTATTAGATATTATAGTTATTGAATAAATATTTCAATGATGCTTGCAAACTTTAAAAATGTTAAGTCACTATGATATTTATATATTAAAAACTTGAAAATTAACATTAAGACTGACAATATAATTTTCTTTTTTTTTTTTTTTTTTTTTTGAGACGGAGTCTCGCTCTGTCGCCCAGGCTGGAGTGCAGTGGCGCGATCTCGGCTCACTGCAAGCTCCGCCTCCCGGGTTCACGCCATTCTCCTGCCTCAGCCTCCCGAGTAGCTGGGACTACAGGCGCCCGCCACCACGCCCGGCTAATTTTTTGTATTTTTAGTAGAGACGGGGTTTCACCGTGTTAGCCAGGATGGTCTCGATCTCCTGACCTCGTGATCCGCCCGCCTCGGCCTCCCAAAGTGCTGGGATTACAGGCGTGAGCCACCGCGCCTGGCCGACAATATAATTTTCTTAAATAAAATGTATTAAGTGATTAGTAAGTAAATATATATTATCAAAATCTGATAAACCAGAATATTAGATGCTTTCATTGGGTTTAAATCTCTGATTAAAATATGTACCACTTAGGTATTCACACTTAACAAAAACTAGGGTAATTTCTTGTAAGCCATGTGTCAAAGATCTCAAAGATTCAAATTAAACCATAGAATAAAGAGTATAATTATAAGAATATGCAGCAGTTGCGTGGTCTGTCTTTGTCTTCAAAGGTCCTAAATCATGCAAATCTATGACAAATTTCAAAAGAAAATACTTAATATGTAACAATCTAAATGACAGAAACTTCATCCCCCTTCATATAACAGCTTGCTCTGATTTCAGCTGTTATCTCTGGTTATGGAAACCAATGGTCAAGTCTATTTTTTTGTATTTGAAAAATCTCTGTAACATTAGTGTTACTCTTGTAGATGAATAAGTGATTTGGCTTCTGCTGCATATTTTTCAAAGTGCTCATCACTGAATTCTAAAATCAACAGATTCACTCTCTGCTGATCTTTTCTTGTTCAACTTTTTACCTAAGAAGTACTGTGTTTTGTCTTATCAATTTCATGGCCTATGAAACTAATCTTCTCACAGTGTGTTATTTTACTTATGCTAAAAGTACTAATAATTCACTCTCAGTGTTTGATCCTCTCTTTAGGAATCCACAGTTTATGTTCTATTTTAAGAACCTAGTTGTAGGACTAGACCCCCTGGAATATGCACCCTAAACTATATAGATGGAAAAAAGTTGATTTCATTGTTCCTGTTGTAGAAACTAAAGTTCCTCTAAGTCAAAGAAATGGCTCAGCTAAGCTCCTATGTTTTTGAAAGTGATAAGAGGGTACAATGAGAACATATTATTGGAAAGAAAGCAAATGAAATAGCTGTGCTAACATAGGAAGGGCCTGCACTGCTGTAGTTATAATAATAACAGTGAAGCTAACAGATCCTTAAAATGAGCCTACTTTACTCCCTCAAACCATAACTGGTAAGGCAGGAAGGAGTGATTTCTAAAAACCTTCATATTTAACAATGCATATGTAGGAGATTATTTATGTTTAAGAATAATTGCAATAACACCCCCTTTCTAACTTCCTAACAGTGTTTAAAATTGTATCATTTTAAGATTTTCATTTTATTGAACTGAATATGTCAATTAGCTTATAACATCAGAATTTACTTGTAGAATCAACCTGAAAATATTTAGGAGTTTTCCCTGTGAGGTTACATATGTTTTCAGAGACTTTGAAAGCTACTGTTCTAACATTGCTTGTATTATATTACATACTGCAATTATAGAATTTCTAGATAGTGTGTAACACTATTTCTGTGAAAACATCTATACTTTTAAAGCAATATATACTCTTCTGAGTATCTACCTATCAGATACAAACTGCTTATCTGATATGCAATAAATTATTTACATATAAAATATCAATTGTGCAAAGAAATTACTTTCTATATTAACTAGTAAAAATGACTAAGTAAACTTAAAGCAAAATTGTTTACTATGTCTGATTATATTTCAGAAGGATTATATATTTTCAAGAATTTCCTATTGATACTGAGTTTCTGCATTACGTAAATGAATAGTATGCATTATTAGATTCTCTGAATACATTCCCTATATGCTTGGCTTCTAACTATACAAGTGAGATAGCAATACAAACAAATATTGAAAACATTTAGAAGCCAGTTGGAAAATAATAATTAGCCTTGACAAGAGGAAAACTAAACTATAGTCCTAAGATGGAACATAGTAATTTCAGTTTGTACATTTAGTAAAACTACCTGCTGCGCTTATGAGGGTCATTTCTCCCTGGCTGCTCTTTCCTAAACATATAATAACATGC
The DNA here is from genome assembly GCF_000001405.40 of Homo sapiens. Classification (NCBI taxonomy): domain Eukaryota; kingdom Metazoa; phylum Chordata; class Mammalia; order Primates; family Hominidae; genus Homo; species Homo sapiens. The sequence continues at coordinate 93,317,060 of NC_000006.12, forward strand.
TCAACATTTTGGATTTTCTCTCTTCTCTCCTCATTCTTTCTTTCTTCTAGGATGCAAGCAAACTTACAGGCAGATGCTCTTGAGGGCTTTATTCTCTAGTGTGTAAGTGGTATGTTTGCCTAGGTAGATGTAAAATATTCTTGCAGAAATCCCACAACTTTCTGGCTTTGGAATTTACTATAGGGATTTTAAAGATTTACTATTTTAATTATGTCTTAAATAAGCTAATGTGAAAATGAATTCACATTTCCCATACATAACAGGTGGGAGCCAGTCCTAGGAATGCATGGTATAAAAGGCAGTAGAAACTAGCTGAGAAAAAACAGTTCTTCAACAAGTAAAGGTACTAAATTGGGGGAACACACTTCTATAGGACCCAGTTTTTTGATGGCCTTGGTATTTTTACATATGAATTATAGCCATGGTTAATTCTCAGATACATTTTTCAGGTCATTCAATTTTAACATTAGCAAAGGAATTAATTATTAATTTTCTTTTTAATGAGGCCTTGGCATATAAAGATTTAGTCTTAAGCTGCATTTAAACTTGGTCACAGAATTACACATAATCACAACAAGTTCAGATATTAACTGCTTGAGCAGAGCCCATTTTGCCTGAATTAAAACATAGTTAAGTTGTATCCTCCCTCCATATCAAACCAACCCACCTCCAACCCCTTCAGCTGTTATAAAGGCAGAAATCCTTGGTTGTGTCTAGCACCTACAATATGTGAAGCTGGCTCCTGCTGCCATCACAGCTGGCTTATGAACCCCTTGGAGAGTCATTAACTAGAGAGAGATAAAGCAGCTTATCTAATGAGGTTACATATGAATTGGAACTCTTCATCCTCCTTCAGGTCAGCCATCCAGTAATCATAACTTTCATTCTCACCTCAATACCTTCTTCATAATCATTTACTGTATCTGGAAAGTCCCACCATTTCTTTTTGATAGAAATATTATACTGCATAAAGTTCAAATGACTAATCCAATTATGGCATTACCCTTCTAAAAAGAAAAAATGTACTTATAAGACATACTGTACTCCTATGTGTTAACATATCTCTCTTGCTAATTCAAGGATTTCTTGAATAAAATAGTGTATATGAAAACACTAACACAGAGCTTGGTATATAATATGGCTCTCAAAAAGTGTTAGTTTCCTTCTCTTGCTTTTATTTTGCCCACAAATTCTAGCACAGTTTTTAGTGCATGGCAGAATAAATTGGCCTGCATGTCTCCATAACTTGCCACTATGCTGCCATCTGCTTGGTGAGAAAGTGAAAGATATGCACAGAAAGAAGCTACTTGGAACCACGCATTCTGAAGCCAACAAGTTCCCTAATTCATTGTATCTAAGTGCAGGTTGGCAGATAAGAACAATTTCTTGATGCAGTTTTCATGAGAAATGAGAAAAAGACAGGTAATGCAATAAATTATGCATTTTAACAAAGGTAAATATATTTAATTTAAAAAATGACCTTAATCTTAAAATTATATTTTCTGCTTAGTTTTTAAAGACAACTGCTTTTAATAAACAGTAGACATAAAAGTACTATGTCATTTTGTTTTTTGTTTGTTTGTTTTTGCTTTGTTGTCTATGGCATGACCATTTTGGCAATGATACCATAATGAGACTCATTATTAGAACTTCATGTAGTTTTTATGAAAAAATAACAAAGATTTAAAAGAAGGCAGCAATCATTTGTCAGCTTTTCCTTCTTAAAAATTGTTTTCTCAATTTTAAAGTTACCTCAAATTCTAGAATCAGGAAACTATTGCTGTGGCTGAAAGGAAAAGAAAAACAGTGGTGTTTTCTGAAAAATACAATGAATTTTTCTGGCATTTCAACCTCTGAACCATTGTTGTCACTTAAATTTAGATTTCAATTCTTAAATAAAAATGATATGCATTCAATAATTTATCTTCCTCCTAATGTCACAAACTAGAATTCAATTCAATTCTACTTAACAAATATTTATTAAGGGCCTCACATGTTCACATCACTCTTATAAGCGTTTAGGAAGTAATATCAAGGAAAAGAAATATCTCTATCCTAGTAAAACATATATTTTCCCCAAAAAGATGGACAATAAATTTAACAACTAAGGAAACTTTATGGTGTGGAAGTTGCAAAATACTCTAGAAAGAGTAGGGTTAGGGGGTCAAAAATGTTAAGAAGTTACAAGTTGTTATATTAAGTAAGGTTGTTTGCACACTGTCATTGAGCATGCAGGGTTTGAACAATGATTTGATAGAGATGAGTTTGGTAGCCAAACAGATATCCAGGAGAAGATAATTTTAAGGGAGCAGGAACAGCTAGAACAAAGGCCCAAAGACAGGAACACTTCTGGTGTGTTTTAAGGATTAGTAAAGAGACTAGCATGCCTGGAATACATGAATGAGGGGGTAAGTGGTAAGAGCTGAGACCACAGACGCTGAGGAGGTGGGATAGGCAGCAGATCACATAAAGCCTGGCAGACTTCTACTCTTGCTCAGAGTGAGATGTGGACTCACAGCAGCTTTCTGAGCAGAGGAACAAAATGGTCTATGCTTTAAAAAGGATGTAACTGCTGTGATTGAGAACTGGATGTAGAGTCAAGTATAGAACAACGAAGACCTACTAGGAAGTTTTGCAGTAATCCAGATAGGAAATGCTGGGGGCTACATAGCTGTGGAAGTGAAGAAAGTGGTCATATTCCATATACACATGTTTTACAAATATTTGGAAGGTAGATTCAATAAGATTTCCTGAAAGATTACATATATTCATAATCAAATATTATACCCTTTATTTAATAATTGATAACTGACAATTATAAATTCACATGAAAAATAATATCTATACAGCAATAAAAGTTGATTTTATATATCTTTTCAATTTCTGTGGTAAGCTGAAAAATATTCTATGCTGAGGCTCCCTCTTACTAGTACAGATTTACTAGATATTTAGGGATAAATTGGATAAAATATTATAATAAGAAAGTATGATAGATAATTAAAGATGTGACTCAGTGGTGAACTGTCTAGCATGTATTTTGTGCTAGTATTAATGGGCTGCTCATTGAAGGAGGAGAAATCACTGATCCATTTCATTGATTAGCTAACCTCCTTGTGAAACTGTAGAAATTGTATCTGATATTATATTTTCATGCCTGGTTTTATTTTACTCAGAAGTGCTTTAATAAATGTCATATTTTAATATTAAGAAGTTTCAGCATGTTGGAATATTCTGCAGATTTAACAAAAGCTTAGCAAAGCATTTTAATATATAAGTACATTTCGAATAAAGATTCAGTATATTAGTTTTTCATTCCAAAACAGAACTCTTTAAAATTAACATTACATTACAATGATAGGCAAAGTGATTAGAGACCAAATATGCTTTGCTATTTTAAAAGAATACAATCATTAGCAGAAAATGATTTGTAGTGCAATTTTACTTCACTTGGGAGAAAAACAATTCCCTTTCATATTTACTAAATTTACTTAAGAATGTAGCTAGAAAAAACAAGTTCTGTAGAAGTATAATGCTTAGTATTCTCTTTCATGGTTTTAAAAGATGCTATTAGACACAGGTCAGAGGTGCAATTAAAGCTAAGGGAAGTATATTTCATAATAAAGAAATTTATTGCAATTTTGATAACATGAAATTTCATAAGCATTCATGGGAAAATATAATTTGGAAAATTATATTTAAAGCTTACACAGCTTTGCTAGTATTTAATGCTTTAGAGACAAGATGGCCCAACACAATTAGCCAAGTCCTGAGGCAGCATTAAAATGCTGAAATATGGGATTGTAGGAGCTTACCAAGTCAGAAATTTTCAAAAATAATTTTGATTCATTGAAATATAATTTCACTTATAAAATGTTATATAGTTAGCAAGATAGTTTGTGTATATTTTGTATCATGTAATAATTGCTAAATAAAATAGCAGTAAATTCAATCTACTTATCACGTGTTATGAGGAGGGCTTATAAAAAGATCTACAATATACAATTCATACCCTTGAGAAAATATATGAATTAGTATTTATATATGTCTCTTTTAAATCAGTACATCTCAATATGTGGCATATGCATTAAAATCATTAGAATTACCTGCATACTTATAAAAATGTATATAACTGGTCTCCACCAAGTTTGTCTACAGAATCAAAACTTCCTGAGTGTGGTTCTCAGTATTTGCATTGTAACAAGCACCTAATATCAACTTTGAGAAGATATTTTGAGAATAGAAGAATCAAACAGTAGGCAACAGTAATATATTATTTGTTGATTATGTATATATCAATCACAATAGGTGAGTCATTGATCCCAGGAGCATTCCCCAATAAAATTCCTGCATATGTATCTCTGTCTCAGAGTCTGTTTATCCTTGGAACTCAATCTCCAATGTCTGGATATGACTGAGCTCACTAATTAGTGCTCTTCTTATTTCTTCTCTCTATATTTGTTTTGTTAGACACAATTAAGGTGGTGTTTGTTTATTAAGTTTAATTACAAGACAAAAATTATAATATCTGAAATTTCACTGACAAATTTAGATTTCTGACTAGACTTCTGGAATTGACATTTCTGACCCCACTGGGCACTTACGCATCTTCAGCAAGAACAGGGAAGTGATTACTCCTTATAAAGGAGATATTCCCTCTCCAGGTCCCTGTGGTCCACACAACTCCACACTGCATCAACATTCATTGATCAGTTTTACAGGAATTTGTTAAACTAACTGGTCAGTTACTCAGGTAAATGTCCAAACTATCTCTTTTTGAGATTAATGTTGGCTTTTAGAAATGTTAGAAAATTAGAAAAAGCCATAAGGCATTTTGATTAAGAGCACAATTTGGGGTTTGATTACTGCCACTGTACGACCTTGGGTTATTCAAACTCTTTATACATTAATTTCTTCATATTTATAATGAGGACATTAATACTACTTACGTTATAGAGCACTGTGAAGATTCATTGAATTAATGAATGAATAATGAATGTAAAAAACAATACAAGGCTCAATATGTCATAAGCTAAGCACACAGGCTTTCACACTGTACAGATGCATACACGCACATATTTTATAAACACGCAAACATGTATGTATACACATATATACAGATGCATAAAATTTACACTGTATGTAATTTTAAAATTATATATCTGTAAAGTATACTATATAATTTACACTGTAGGAAAGTGAGATAAAAGAAGTAAAGTTTAAGATGGAATTTGAAGAAAAAATATAGCATTAATTACTATTCTTTTTAAAATTTAGGAAGAAATATTCCAACAAAAACTTAGAGGGAAATTTTGTATCGCTTAAAATCTACTGCAAGCAATTCCTTTTTTTGTCTTGTTTTATAAAATATAAAGCCCCCCAGGAAGGCCAAAAGATTTATTATTTCATAGAGGGGTGCTTTTCTGATAAATATACTGGAGTTTTGCAGAGGCATACTCTTCATTAATTAATTTCTAAGTCTGGATTTACTAAATCATGCTCCTAAGGAACATGCTCTTCCCAGCTTTAGTTTTTGGTAAGGGAATATTTTAAAGCAGTGCACGTAGCTCAGGTTATATCAATGACTGAATTAGAGAGGCATACTAGTGACTATTTAACTCTGATTATACCTTCAAAATTAGGACCCATTTTCATGAACTCATTGTATCAAATAGGGATTAAATATTCTCTTTGGATTTAGTGATTCAAATAAATCCCTGAGGGAAGCCTTCCAAAAGTCACCTACAGATACTTTTACTCACTATGGTAAGCAGTTTTACAGATTCAGGGAGCATACTGTCCCCCATCTGTGCTTTACGTGTGTGTGTGTTTTACTAGCACTATGAATGAATATGTCAATTATCACTTTTTGAGGGTCACATAGAATAGCAGTTAATCAAGTTGGGCATTTTCAGTGGACTTAATTTAAAAGTTTGAATGAAGATTTTATTAATATGGTATTCAAAGGGGAAACAAAAAAAAGATGTGAAAACTTTTTGGTTTTGCTCAATTGCTTTCAATTAAAATAAACAACTTCAAATGCATAACATAGAATTTTTTGATTATACATATTTAAGCATTTTAACAAAATAATTTATTTCTACATATTCGTCTCTTTATGAAAGAAACAAATAAGCAGACTGTATTAATCAATTAAATGTAAAGGCTCTAAAATTTAGGAGTAAACACATGATTCCTTGCTAAGCTGGCCTTTTATCCACCTCAGTGGGGACTTAAATACTGGAATCCAATGGGGTAAAACGTTTTCGAGTGCATTTAGGACTCTTGTCATTCTTCCACGAATTCTTTCCTTCTTTCTCTTAATATTCTACTCGATTACCATCCACCACTTCTTACAGTTTAGCTCAAGAAACCAAAATAATGATACCAAATATACAGAATATAAAGTTCTGGGAAATGTGCATGTTTATTGTACACGTACAAATATATACTATTCATTAGGTACTAAGTTTTAACACACAAAGTAGCATGTTTTTCCTGGCCTACTAGAATCAAGATTTTGGAAAGGCAGATGTTTGACAATTTTATTTACATTTTCTCAGATTTTATTTTTAAAATTAAAAATTCCATCTGGATTAAAATGTATTTCTACAAGGTTAGGAAATCAAAAATGAAAGGACTCTACCCTTAACTGATCATACTGGCTTTCATACAGTGCTGCTCTTTAGCATCTTTCAGTTTGATATCATTTTTGGATGTAGCTAAATGCCAGATACCCTGACAAACATATATTCTACCAGCTGGATCTCCATCTGCTCAACTAAACATTTTCACACCAAATCTGTATAAAAAGCTATGTTTTCAAAGAGAGTTATCTACAACTGAAATATTAAAATCTTAACTCCAGGAGACCCTCCATTACATATTTCACATGTATTAAATCATGAATACAAAACTACCTCCAAGTATTATCAGTGGTCTGCTTTCCGTTGCCAGAAGTTATCTTAAACCATCCATGAAGGGGCAGACAGACTCTTTTGAGCACAACAAATATTTTTGAGATTTTTCACCTAAGGCAGAAGTATTGCTACTGTCTTTTGATGTGTTTCCTTACAAAAATACTGCAAAATTACTGTTAATGGATAGACTGATTTTTTAAAAATCTGCATTAAGTTAGTCCTGGGATAACTTCCTTTACCAACATATGAGTATATTAACTAACATAAAATATGCCTCTAATTAAATCCTCATAATATTCATCAGAATCTTTTTAATTGAGCTCTGATTATACAAGAGTGGCAAAGAAAATCTCAGGTAATTTAAAAAAGTTTCTATCTGAAAATAAAATTGATCCTCATAAACATCAGTGCCACTAGATTTTCTAGCTTGGGGAAGTCATCTATAAACCGTTATTAGATTTTTGTAAACCCAAGGGCAGATGAAAGGCATGAAATACAATAATCTAGCAGGATTGGCCTTGAGGCAAAAATGGGATCACAGAACTCATACAACATGTAAGTGCACAATAAGTTAAATCTGGAAGAAGGAAACTAGACCCTCTCAACATATGTATCCTACCTCTTAAATAATATCAGTTGCCACACTCTAAAAAAATATGCGTGTAAGTGTGCTACAGCAAGTAGGGGAATTCCATTCTTTGAGACTGCAGAAACATGATCAAGAAAAGAGGGAATCAAGGGTGCCTTCAACACGTATACAGAGAAAGACAAATATTCACTATTTATCACCAAGGCAAACAAACATAAAAGCATTGAGAACTTCATAATTTTTTACAAATCAAGGCCTTGGCCAGGAAGCTGAGTAAAATGTTTCTGTGTATTCATAGTAAGAATAGAAGCAAAAGAGGTTCATATTGTAGAGGGCAGAAGGGATATGTGCAAGCCTTTTATTGATAGATTTTTCACTCACTATTTTATTTTGTACTTATTAATAACAATCCTGAAAAAAGGCATTTTTTTTCCAGTGAACCTACCTTTTCTAAAACTGGGGTTATGTAGTATAAAAAATGAGAGTGTATGGGAGGAGAATGAGAGAGAGTGGGTGTACAGACAGAGACTGAGTGAAGATTCTACCAGCTGAAGAAATATTTAGAATTGCCAGGAATAATATATGCATATAGGGAAACACTTGTTACAAAATAAGCTATAGCTCAATTTTAACCCTAAATTCAAAGGACACAATCAATGGAATTCAGAAACAATTGGTCCTAAGTGTTTTCTATATTATAGAAACTTCAGCATTATCTCACTTATTCTTTTTTAATAAATAAAATTATTTAAGTGAGGAGTTCATCACCAAGTCCTTCTAAAAAGATATATGCCTCTTTATCAAAACAAAAGCCAGGCTTATTTAGCTACATAATATAGGCCAAACCAGTGATGCGCAAGTGACTTAAAATAAATATCTTCTATGATCAATTGTCTAAAATTTTCTGTAATTGTAAGCTTTGTTTAAAATAGTAAAATTTAATATCTATCATCCAACTATACTCCACTCCTTCCCACCTTCTACATTTTCTAATCTTACCAAAATATATCTACCTAGAGAATCAAGGTAAAAATAATAGATAAGATAAATGAAGGAAATTTTAAAAATTCCAACAAAATGAACCACCACTTTTCTTGGTATTGAAAACAGGTGTACATTTAACCAAGGTTAACTGCAGTGCAGTAAAAAACTGTTACGAATCTACTGGTATACTTAATATTTTATATTTACTAGACACACTTTGAAGTTTCTAAATATATCTAAGTGGCTAAAAAGAAGGACTTCATATCTTGAAAATTTCAATAAAGAAAACTTGCTTAATTCAAACATTTGCCAAGAAAAATGGTTATCATCAAACACAGGATATTAAATAATTATCTGTTTGCTCTGCTGGCTCAAGATAGATGTAGTGCTGATGCCCACACTTGCTGAGAAAAAAATGACACAACATCCTCTCTTCGCCATCAATGAGATCTAACAAAGAGTCAAGAATAATAATTCTAGATTTATAAACTGCCTGCTGTGTTCACCAAACATTAGTTACATAGCAGATAATTCTATTCATAGTCTAATATTCATGTAATGAAAATCTCATAAGAACGCTAAAGAATTATGCCGTGGTAATAGTGGGAAGTAAAAAGGAAAGAGATTAAAATCTGTCTCTCCCTATAGTCTAAGTTCCATGAGAGGCTATGTTCATGTCACCACTGAATATCCAGCCCTCAGCAAATTACCTGGCATACAGTAAGCACTCAATAAGTATTCAACAAACAAGTAAAATCACAACCCTAATTTCAATAAAACACTGCACAACATTCAGTGTCATCTTAAACATATTAAAGAGTGATTTTAAATGAATGCTCTATTTATATAAAATATACGAAGATAGTTTCTTGTGTTAACTGTTAAATATCTAATGAATGGCATAACTAGAACTTACTTAGGAGAAAGGCTGACTAGAAAGTGACCTAAAATTATCTCTATGTGAAGATTTCCAGTTTCACTGAAAATTATAAGTAGAAGCAAGTTTTAAAACTAAGAAATTATTTGTTCACTGAAACTGAAAGGTAAGGTCTCTCCTCTTCATTGTTTTTAGCAAGTGAGTTTCCTGCTAATACAGGAATAGATCCTGGGATCCCATCATAGCATATGACGTGTTTGGACTAAAATCTTTCAGAGAATCTATTCTGTGAACAGAGGAATCTTGTCTATTTCATACTAACACACATCCAGCGGTGAGCAGAATGACTCATGACAGGTGCTTAATATTTATTAAGCACATCAATGAATGGGCAGAAACAACAGAAAGACATATTGTAACTGAATATAAGAAAGAACTTTCTAAGATATAAAGCTGCAAATTTTTATTGTTGTATCTTCTTAGTTTTCTCCAACTTAGCCAAACCCATTCTTTCAACTGGTATCCATCTTACATGATTGTGAGTTACCTCATATTTCCCATCACTTTAAAATACATTTGTATGACGGTTAATCTGTGCTATCTAGAATTGGGCACAATATTCCCAGTTGGAAGTGGCATGTGCCGAGCAGAGCTGAGTATCAGCCACCTTTACTCTATAAATCAGTGCAGTCTAAGACACATGAGATGTTCTGATGGCCACTAGACTCATACTGAATTGATTATATCCAAAGTTCAGTTCTCACTCCTCACCTTGCAGAGCTATCAACATTTGGGACAGATCATTGCCTCCTCCTTGAAATAACTTTCTTTGCTTTCTGAGCATCAAATTGAATTTTTCTATTATCTCAATGGCCATTCATTCTCTGTCACTTTTCCTGATTGTTCTTCATCATCCAGTGCCCTGGCACTCACACCTCAACCCTGGTTTTTATTCTATTTATACTCACTTCCTTTTATCTCATTTAGTTCATGACTTTAAATTCCATGTCGATGCTGAAAACTCCAGATTTACATAATTAACCCCAATATCACACATAAACTAGAGGCAACTGTAGCATCTTAAACATAGCATGACAGAAACTGAGTTCCTAAACTTCTTCAAACCTGTCTCTCCCACAAATTTTTCTGTCTAGAGTTACTAGTTATTTCATCTTTTCAAAAGTTGCATAGGTTTAAAATACTCAAGGCTTCCCTTGGCCACTGTCTTTCTGTCATATTCCACATTCAGTGTGCTCATCTTGTTGACTCTGTATTCAAAATGGATTCAGAATTCACTACTCCCTACCATTCCATTGCTACCACCCTAGTGAAAGCCACCTTCTAGATTATTGCAATAGCCTCCTAAACTAATCTCTTGCTCCTGAGAACCCCTCTTAGCTATTCTTAACACAGCAGCGAGATTGTTAATGAGATGGTTATGAAAGTATATTCATGTCATTCTTCCGTTTAAATCCCTCCAATGGCTTTCAGTCTTCATCTAAAGCCAGTGGTTATAATGACTTGCAAGGTCTAACACAGTGTGTCCTTGCAACTCTGTTAACACCCAACTTCCATTTATTCTACTCTCCTCCTTTCTCTCTTCACACCAGATACACTTATCTCCCCCACTGAACATGCTAAACATGCTCTTTCCTTGGGACCTGCACAGGCTGTTCTCTCTGTCCAGAACACTCTTCTTCCGTTTGGCTTTGCTTTCATATCTCACTCAGGCCTTTATTCAAACGTCATTCCAATAAAGCCTTTCCTGGAAATTTTTAAAAACTGTAATCCCTTGACACTCCATTCATGGCTTTCCTATGTATTTTGTTTGAACAACATCATCTAATTTTTTATATTTTACACATTTAGTATATTTCTGTCTGTTCTACTTGCACTCCACTTCTACTAGAAACTTTTTAAAGACAGAGATTTCTTTTTTTGTCTATAGCTTTTCCCAGCATCTAGAGTAATGTATGAAACATGTGAAATGCTGAATAAATATCTTTGAATGATACAACAATATATGAGAGTTTTAAGGGAAAACATTTCACTGGTGACTTTTCAAGTATTAGCCAGCTGGGAAATGTTTTGGCATGATGGAATCCACACTTTTCTAAAGTGCATCATAAGTCATACTTTAATCATCTTTCCTCACCCAAAATAGAGGTAATCTGGTCTTTCTTACCTGACTTTATTATCTTGGATACCAAGATTTCTCCTAGGACATTGGTTCCTGAGTCATGGCAATTTTAATGCATCAAAGGGGCACTATTCAATCTGGGTAATAATATATTCTCATTAGCGAATTCTCATAGAAGCCCTACATAATCAATGTGCTCCCTCTAAGCACATATCTTAAATAATAGGGAGAAAGAGGAATAGAAAATGGCATGGTCTCCTTAAAAGACTACATGGGCAAAATAATACTTTGATTATACAATAAAATAGACCAAATATGAAAAGTACTATTTTCTAATTTAAAGATAACATTATTAAGGAGGGAAGAGAAAAACAGCAAGTCAAGGTCACATTTTGCAGAATGAATTAACCAAAACTGCATTATAAAAATCCATATTCATCTGTTAATATTAAAAATAACTTTAACAATAACATATACACACAAATAACTAACTCTTCAGGGAACTAAAGTGAATAAAGTGATGTAGGGTATTTTTTTCATTACCAATAACTTTTAACTTTTGTTTCCTTTAAGAATTTTATATTTTAGTGTCAGACTGAATGAAAATCCTCTTTCTTCAGATCTGCATTGTAATAATATAAGTAATACACACCAAAGATAAATAACTGCAGAGTATGACCTACAAGTTCTGAATGAGACACTGGCCACTAAACATTTATCATACTTTTAAAATCAGAAGTAACTGAAATGTTTAATTGCTAATCGTTATTTATTTCAAACAGAAAGTTTAAAAGCTTTTGTTAATTAGTATATAAGCCAGATTATAAGCAATATTAATGTAAATATGAAAATACAATTATCATTTTTAGACATGCTAACTAGCAACAGCATATGGGCCAAGAACTGTTCCAAGAATTTTACTTCACACCTAATAAAGAACATGAGTGCTATGCCATGAACTGTGTATGAATCCTGACATCTTTGATTTTTCAAATACTTTTCCAACACAGCTATTCTTTGTATACTTTTTTTAAAAAAGGAGACATTGCTTAAAGAATACATTGTATCCATTATAGAGTATGACTGACTAAATAAACTTAGTAACTTCATTGATTTTCTCAAATAATCTTATTGTCTCAAATATTTTAAATTATATTTTGTATAAATACTTTTGTTATACATATGTTCTACTTTATACAAGGAGACTGCGGCAGAACTGGAAAGTGAAAACAAGACTCTTGCTTCACAGCCCATCTTCTTTCCATTACACTCATCAGCTGAAGTGAAATTAAAAAAAACAAAAACAACAAAGACTCATTCTTGGAGCAGAAGATACTGAACAAGAATACTAATTAATTATTAGCAATGTAAACTCTCACCTAAAGTATAAGCAGGTTTATCTTTTTACACTAGTTAGAAGAAAAACTATATTTTGGAGGAATTGAGAAAAATGCCACAGTCAGTGGAATGAGAGAAGGAGATAACTAAAGAATTTGAAATAATTCTTGTTATACAATGTCAAACATAGCAATTAAATTGTTTTCAAACAGTACACAAAATGGTAATCATAGGATGAAAGTGACTCTTTTTAATTGACACATAATAATTTTACATGTTTATGAGGTACACAGTGATATTTTGATATAAGTATAGAATGTGTAATGATGAAATTAGATTGATTAGCATATCCATTACCTCAAACATTTGTTAATATCATTTCCTTGTGCTGGGAACATTCAGAATCCTCTCTTCTAGCTATTTGAAAATATAAAATAAATTATTGTTAACTATATCACACTACAGTGTTATAGAACACCATAGCTTATTTCTCTTATATAGCTATAAGTTTGTGTATGTGAACCAACCTCTATCTTCCTCTCTCCCCTAACCTTCTCAGTAACCACTATTTTACTATCTGCTTCTATTAAAGATTTTAGCCCTTACATATAAGTGAGAACATGTAGTAGTATTTGTATTTCTGTACCTCACTTATTTCACTTAACATAATGTCCTCCAGGCTCAACAACATTGCTACAAATAACCAGATTTCTTTCTTTTTTATGGCTGAATAGTATACCATTATGTAGATATATACCACATTTAAAAAATCTATTGACCTGTTGATCGATACTTAGGTTGATTTCATATCTTCGCTATTGTGAATAGTGCTACAGTAAACATAGGGGTGCAGATAGCTCTTCAATATGCTGATTTCCTTTCTGAAAGTTATTTATCCAAGCCAATCAACAGCATTTTCTCCAAGGGCAAAATATTTACTTTTCTCTTTTTTATGTTACCTTGGGTATCAGCTGAGAAGGCATTTCAAAAGGTGTAAAGCATTTATTAACTCCTTACTCTATAACTGATCTTAGGACTTTGCTGTATGGAGAACATGCACACCTACCCACAATATTGAACATTTCTTAACTGGCTTTTCATTAGATGATCGGTCTGTTTAGGTTCACAGTCAAGAGTGGGCATATATGTCAAACATTTTGATAAACTAATGGCTATTTGGAGAAAAGTATTGCAGATGCCAAATTGTAAAATTAGCAACATGGAAATGCAGTAAATCTGTAAAAGTTTAGTTATAACTTTGGCAACAAAAGTATAAGTTACAATATTAAAAATGAAGGATATCACTGTATTTTAAGAAAAGAAGTAAACAGAGATGGCCTAAACAAGTCTCCCTAGTTTTATATTCCACATATATAGTCACACCACTATAATAAAATCGTGTTTTTTAAGATCTTCAATAATATCTTTCTTGCTAAACACAAAGGTCTTTTCTCAGTTTTCTTTACCTTTAATCCCTTTCCAAATTCTGCAACTCCTGAATACATGCCTTCCTGAAATATGCAGATTATATATTTAGCAGAAAAATACAAAAAAAAAAATTCAGAGCTTTTAAAAACCAAACCTAGACATGAGTCTTACTTTTTGATTTATAACTTATTTAGAAACAGAGATTCTGTCTAGAATGCATACTAAATTTATTTCATGTACACACATAAACATTTTTTCAAAGAAATGATCATGGAGAGTTAAGGAAATCATCTGAATACCTAAGGACAAATTATTACTTTACATGAAATATACAAACAATTGAGGCAATGTTGCTTTCTCATCCAATAACTTCCCCATGTAATTTGTATGTGTGTGGCAAATAGCAATTCAACCATATTATACCTTGTTTAGTTTATCAATTAATTATTTCTTCAAAGATACGTACTTTCTATTTTTCAGCTACTATTGTAAACCACTATGTCATTTTATCTTTTCATAGCATCCACAAGCAAAGGCTGAATTAATAGGCTTTCATTATATAACTCTGCTTTAAGGCAAATGTAGACAACATGCCACATTGCCTCACACAGTTCAGTTCAATAGAAATAATATATTAATCTATTTTCTCAGAAAAATACATACTATACAACTGCTACACACCTGACATTGTTAGGTGCTTGACTTTTTTGTTGTTCACTGATATCACGGGAAACAGGTACTTGACTTTTGATAAGACTTTTAGTAATAGCACTTGTTTAAAAATATTCTCACAGAATTGGTTTCAAAGTGTATTTACAGTGAAGCTCAATTGCTTGTCAGCATCATGGCTAAGATTAAGTGTAGTACAGTGGAGCTCAGTGGACCCGGTGGAAGGTGACAAGGAGAACTGAATAAAGCAAGCAAAAAATAAACAAAAAAACTTGAGAAAAGCAATAATTTGATAAAAATGTTAATAAAATAAAATAAGTACAATAATGGTAACTATAACTCTTTTCACCCCAACTCAGGCAAATTATATTTCTAGTAAGTACTATAAATAATGAACAGTTATCTACAGAACATGAGCTTTGTATACTTGTAATCTTTTATCTGATACATACTTATATTACAAATTCCATCTCTCTCTTTGCTAAGTGGCTTATATATTTTTATATGCAATTTATAGGAACTCAATTATAATGTTAAATTTAATTTTTGTGCTATATGGTAATATATATGTGCATGACAAAAGTAAACAAGTTTATAAAAACATTGTTTATTGTGCACATTGGATTAATACATCTCAAATTCTGAAGACAAAAGCAAGAGCTATTTCAGAAAATGCCTTAAAATTTCAATACAATTAAGTAAAAAATATGATTTAGAGTATTTTTGAATTTCAAATAAACTGATATGATCAACATCGTGATATGGCAGATTTAAAGCAATTAACTTGTGCAGAGTATTAATTTAAACATAAGAAATGCTGGCTCAAATTCATCAAAATAATAGAAACTAATTTCATATTTATTTTTATGTTAAATTTATATCGTTTTAAACTTTTATTTTAGATTCAGGGGTACATATGCAGGTGTCTTATTGGTACATTTTGGGTCATGGTTGTTTGGTGTACAGATTATTTCATTACCCAGGTAATAAGCATAGTATCTGACAGGTATTTTTTCTGATCCTCTCCCTCCTCCAAAACTCCACCCTCAAGTAGCCCTGATATCTGTCATTCCCTTCTTTGTGTCTCTCTGTACTCAGTGTTCAGCTTCCACTTGTAAGTGAGAACATGTACCATTTGGTTTTCTTTTCCTGCATTAATTTGTTTAGGATTATGGCCTCCAGCTCCATCCATGATGCTTCAAAGAACATGATCTCATTCTTTTTTAAGGCTATGTAGTATTCCATGGCATTTATGCACCACATTTTCTCCATGCAGTCTCTAACACTGATAGTCATTTAGGTTGATTCCATGACTTTGCTACTGTAAATTGTGCTGTGACGAACATACGCATGCATGTCTCTTTATGGCAGAATAATTTATATTCCTTTCATTATATATCCCATAATGGAATTGTTGGATCAAATGATAGTTCTGTTTTAAGTTCTTTGTGAAATCACCACACTGCTTTCCACAATGGCTGAACTAATTTACATTCCCACCAGCAGTGTATAAGTTTTTCTCCAAAACCTCACCAGCATCTGTTATTTTTTGAGTTTTTAATGATATCATCCTGACTGTTGGGAGATCTCATTGCAATTCTGATTTGCATTTCTTTAATGATTAGTGATGTTGAGCATTTTTTTATGTATTTGCTGGCCACCTGTATGTTCTCTTCAAAGCATCTCTTCATGTCCTTTGCCCACTTTGTAATAGGATTGTTTAATACTGCAAACTAGACAGGTGAAAGATCTGTACAATGAGAATTACTAAACACTGCTGAAAGAAATGAGAGATAGCACAAGCAAATAGAAAAACATTCCATGCTAAATGATAGGAAAAAATCAATATTGTTAAAATGGCCATTTGCTCAAAGCAACTTACAGATTCAGTGTTATTCCTATCAAAATACCGATGAAATTGTTCACATAATTAGATAATACCATTTCAAAATTCATATGAACCAAAAAAGAGCTGACTTACTCAGGACAATTCTAGGCATCATGTTACCAGACTTCAAACTATATTACAATGCTATGGTAACCAAAGCAGCATGGTATTGGTACAAAACTAGACAGAATAGAGAGCCCAGAAATAAAGCTGCACACCTATAGTCATCTGATCCTTGACAAAGTCAACAAAAACAAACAGTGGGGAATGAACTATTTATTCAATAAATGGTGCTCGAATAACTGATTAGCAGAGGACTGAAGCTGGACCCCCTCCTTACACCGTATACGGAAATAAACTCAATATGGATTAAAGACTTAAATGTAAAACCTAAAACTATAAAACACTGGAAGATAACCTAAGAAATACCATTCCAGACATAGGCCCTGGCAAAGATTTCATGATGAAGATGCCAAAAGCAACTGCAACAAAAAAATTGACAAATGGGAGGTAATTAAAGAGCCTGTGCACAGCAAAAGAAACTATCAAGAGAGTAAACAGACAACCTACAGAATGGGAGTAAATATTTGCAAATTTGGCATCCAACAAAAATCTAATAGCCAGAATCTATTAGGAACTTAAACTAATTTTATATTTCTAAAGATAATTCTCTAACCAGCATATATAATACCTACAATCTAAAACACTTTCCAACTACTAGAGAACAAACTTAATATATAATGTAGAAAAAAATATCTCCAAAGAAGCACATTAAGGTGTTAGCATTTCTGCTACTGTGCATAGAAAACTGTATCCCTGTGGCTTTTCCATGCATTATAACTAGGCTATTCTGACTCAAATCCACAAATATCAAGGTTAAACGAGTGATGCAAATCCATTTCATTCTCTGATAACCATGAACATATTTGCATGTTTCACCTTTAAACTTAATCCAAAACTAGTAAAGATTGCGATGTGTAGCTCATATTTTAAAATTTTCCAGTATTAGTATGCATCACTTTTATTAGAATTGATTTTTTTTCCCCAGAAATAGGACAACACAAGTGTGAAAATCAAGGACAGGAAGAAATAAATAACCTAGAAGGCAACAAGACAGGCCACAGACCCATATAACCTCAGGTGTTGTCTCACCCAGCAACTGTATGGGCTTTATCACCTTCGGCAATTTGTTTAACTTCTCTCAGCATTTGGAGTAATAACATATTCCTCACAAAACTATCGCAAGTTTGATTCCTAGAGGGTCAATTAAGTGTTAACAGACCAGAATGTATCCTTCAATGTATTTTACGTCAATCTAGTCTTACTTTTTTCTGCTTCCAAAAATGGGAGATATTCAAGAAATATTATAAAAATTATTCTACTTCTGTTTTTAGTTTTAGAACAAAATGAGATTTTTCATCTAATGTAAAACATAATCATCAACATATGTGATACACTATCCGTGTAGGGTTGTAATGTAAGTGTTTTGCCCTGACCAAACCTGGCACAGTAATTATATTTCAAATTTTACAGTTTCATTGGTATTTATATTATAATTCCAAAGGATTTGTTAAAGTTCTCAGTATCATTAAGGACATAAGGAAATACTTTTTAAAAAGTGAAATAATTATATTTTTAAAAAGCACCTGTGTTTTAGAAGGGAGACCACCAGCAAAGATGTAGAATAGTAGTGGGAAAATAGGAGCAAAAAGGAATAACCTGTTAGACCCATAACTTAACCAGTAATAATCATCCACAGTTTTCATTTTTTTTTTAAATTTTTAATCCCATTCCTATCTATCTATAACAATTAAAATACAGACATGGAAACTACACTCTTTGAATCCTTATTAGCTTCTTATTGTGGTATGAGTAACAATAAATTACATTATTTTTCTTTGTATTTTGTGAAAATTTAAATAGACAAATGGAAAATTTTCTATTTAGAAAGAGATCATTAAAATTCAAATCACACATAGTGAAATTATCTAATTCATTTCTTGATATAATCCAGAAATGGCTGGATAGAGATCTGAACATGTATCCAGTATATGAGAGACATATAATGAATCTTTCTTGCTATAACCTACAAGAGAGGCACAAGTACTATCCTTGGTACCCAAAACATATTGGATAATGTTTCATTATAATTGATGTACCTTTAAAAGCCTTTTTAAAGTAGTGTTTAAAAAATAGTTCATGTAGTACATTGAGCACTAAAACTTTCAAGCCTACTGCTACCCTACTACTAGAATAAAAGTATTTTAATACAAGAAAGAAAAATAATATATAATCATCACATAACTTATATTTTAAGGTTGCCCAATAAAATATTTCTCACAACCTCTTCAATGAGTTTAGCATCAGAAAACGAGGCAAATGCAAGGTATACATGAAAGTTTCAGATTCTCTTCATATCTCATATGTTACAAATTGCTTGGATTTCATGTGTATCTCACTTTGAAAGTGTAGTGGGCAGTCAAATGTACAACTGTTCAAAGCCTTTTACACTTTGTTGTTGTTGTTGTTTTGAGATGAAGTCTCATTATGTTGCCCAGGCTGGAGTGCAGTGGCACGATCTTGGCTCACTGTAACCACTGCCTCCTGGGTTCAAGTGATTCTCCTGCCTCAGCCTCCCGAGTAGCTGGGACTACAGGCACGTGCCACCACGCCTAGCTATTTTTTTTATTTTTAGTAGAGACGGGGTTTCACTGTGTTAGCCAGGATGGTCTTGATCTCCTGACCTTGTGATCTGCCCGCCTTGGCCTCCCAAAGTGCTGGGATTACAGTCATGAGCCACCCTGCCCAGCTCCTTTTACCCTTTTAAGAACAGAAGTGAATAGTTCATCCCCAATACCAGTTCCAATAGCAGCCACTGCTCAAGTAACCAAGAGTAACCTCTTGCTTTGAATGGCATCCTTCTTCCAACTTAACAATTTTACCATAAATTTGAAGGATCAGTGGAGTAATATAAATTGGATAGTTTACAAAGTATTATTTTTGTAAAAAAAAAAAGGAAAAACAAAGAAGCTTTTATCAGCCAACCTATTCCTTTTGTTTGCCCTCTATAGGGGTGGCAGTTTGAAGTAGTTAGAAAAAAGACATAAAAAGGAAGTATCAATGACTAATTAAAAGTGGCTGCTGGTTTTGTTTTACTGTGTTTGGCTGAATGCACAGTCAGTACAGTGAGAATCTTCACAGAAAATACCTTAAACAACAGAAGAGAATATTGCTGCTGTGTTTTCAAATCCGCAATTCAAAGTTCCACTTTTCTCCCATGGGAGACTGACCCAGAACACTGAAGAAAGATCCACAAGGATAAGGTTGCTCAATAATGTCAAAGATTACCAGTGATCAAAAGCAAGGTTCCAGTGACTGCACACCATTTCCAAAAGGTCAGAATCACAAGTTCTTTTAGTAAGTGAATGTCTTTACACACTGATTGCACAAGGCTGCAACAAAAGTCTATTTTTATTCTCTGGAATATAGATTAGAAATGAGACCTAATTTTCTGTGGATAGTTTTTTGACCAATTCTACCCTTAGAAAAAAAGTACTTGTATAAACATAAAATCAGTTTGGGCATTGTGCTGTATTTTGTTTACAAGAATGTATAAGTGTCAAAGGAAAGAAAATCTATTTTCAAAGGGCCTCAAACAACTACTTTAAAAGAAACTCACTCAGATTTGTTGAAACATATTCAGTAGATAATTGAGAGATTTCTCTCATAGAGAGCTGGCAGGAAAAGAAAATATTTCAATATTTTTCTATGTCAAACAGTAGAGTATCACAGACAAGCCTGTTGTTCTCACCACTGATCTCAAACCTGGAGCTCTCAAGTTAGATATACCTCAGAAAGAGAAGTAAGTATCACAGGATGGAAAAAGCAGCAGCATCCTGGAAGCAAATAAATGAATTCTCAGGAACAGCTTGCTCTTTGTTCACCGTTTATATGACTCTTGTGACACTGGAATAATGATTTCATATTGTAGCATGCTTTTTCCTCTGTACATAGTTCCTTACCACCAAAACAAACAGGAAGGAAGAAATGGAGTGAGGATGGAGGGAGGTGAGGAAAAGAGGGAAGGAGACAAAGAAAAGGAGGGAGGGAAGAAGAAGCATTGGGAGGGAGAGAACAAAAGGGAGATAACTCATCAAACAGTACAAAAGTCTTGAACAGAAAGCCTAAGAATATCATCATGTTGCCCCCAAATCCCCACCAACAGCCTCTGGGAGTAGAAATGTAAAAGAAAAAACAATTTTCTGCGGTTAAGGAAAGTCTGGGACTGCTGTCATTCATATGCAATTCCATCCAAATTCAGAGTGCTTGAGGAAATCACATGCTTCTCTCTTCTCTCTCTTTTCTTGTGTTTTACATTCTTCAGCTTCCTAATTCTTGCTTTTTACATTTAATAGTTTGAAATAGTCTAAGCAGGGTGTATGTGTTAGTGTGTATGGATTCAATAGCTTAAAACCAATCAAATATATTAAATAAGAGAGTGACTTTCAGGTACCTTGGAAGCTCCTACAAAGTTACAGAGGGATATTCTGCTTGTGATTCCTATGTCACCTCTGAACCATTGAAATTCAACTCTCTTTCCAAATCGGTATTCCAATAAATCATGTTTCTTTTTTGCCCAGTTTGGCTATAAATAGGCTTAAATTTCAAAAATAGATGTTCACAAATGTTTAAAATTTCCTCAAAGTTCTCAATTATACCTGAATATTAAATAATAATCGAAACAATAAAATGGTTATTTTTCATTCTTTTATTTGTTTAATGGAGGTGAGATACAGAATATATCTTAAAAACTTAAAACAGCTACAGAGAGTTGATCTTTAGAATCTTTTCAATTTTCCCCTTTAAAATAATTGTCTTCCAAAGTTATACTATCTAACCTCAAAACATGATATAAATTGAGTGCAATGATGGAAGAGGTCCTGTAGTCTGATAGAGAAGAAAATCATATGTATTATATATTGTAATACATATTACATATCTCTATATATCTCTATATTATATATCTCTCCTTATAGCTATATCTATATGTACAGAGAGATAATCAAATTTTATGTTAAATTAAATAAATATTAAATTTTATATAAATATATGCACACATATAATACCGTAGGATACCAACATTTTATTAAATAACAATTTCTCAAAGTGTACAGGAATAAAATTTTACATGAACACTTAGCATCATTTTTAAAAACATATAATACAAAAACTGGCAATAAAATAAGTTTTTAATTTATTGGGAGATAGTGTCTTCAGAATTCAAAGTTCATTTTTAGAAACTGATTATATCTAATACAACTCATTAATTGGTAAAATTTTGCCTAGAGATTGGTATTTAAAAGTGTCAACATTACTTGTTTAAAGAATAGTCAACGATTTATTATTCTTTTGTAGTCCCGGTTATTGAGAGGGTTACATATTGTGAGACTGAAGACAACATTAATCTTGTATAATAATCAGCATTATTTTGTTACTTTTTCCAAAACTGCACTTTGCCACAGTTAAATTTATAGCAAAGAATTCAATTCTACTACATCAACACCACTAACTCATAACTGAATGAGGTTTTTATTTTATAAAACATTTTTTCATATATTGCTTCATGTAATACTGAGATTAACTAATAAGATAAAGAGATTGCATTACTTGCCCAAGGTCAAAAAACAACTTGATCAACCTGGGATTCAAACATTTTGATTCTAAATTCAGTGTCCAATTTCTCTGATATGTCTTTTATGTCTATTTTTCTCTAGATGCATTATTACATAGAAACTGATTTTATTTTGATATAGAAAAATAATCCACTGGGCTCGATATATTTATTGACTATGTAAACAGCCCAGGCAATACATATTTTTGGCATGTCAATACATTGAAAAAACATATGTCTAAAGAATATACAAAAGTAAAATAACTTTGGGGAATGTTTCTGGTTAACAAATCATTCCTAAATACTAAACTGGACCCTATTTATTTACTATACAATGTACAAATAATCTCTCCCTTTATCTATATAAGTCAGATCAATTATATTCGCCATATTCCAATTCAAAATGGTGTTACAGGGAACAATAACAATTACTGAGAAATATAAATTCTCATGATTCCTAGGTTCCAAAGGGAAATAAACATAGGGACAGATGTTAATAAGCCACAAACTCTTTGTTTAGCTATATATGCCTGATTATTACAGGAAGTATGTCAATACTATATAAACAAAACAATTTCTTTAAAAATGTAAAATATGAATTCATATATATTCAAACAGGATATATACATATCTGAGTGTGTATGTATACGTGTGTATATGTGTATGTGCATACATAAACTTTACTACAGAATTCACAATAGTAAATCATTCAGTAATGAATCTTCTTGACCAATTTAAATTCTGAGTTAACCTACTGTGTGGTTTGTAAACAATTATCATGAATGTATCTAATGAAAACATTATTAAATTATCACATCTTCATTCTAGAAATATTATGGATACAGGTTTAGAATACCCGATCTGAAAATTTAAAATCCAAAATGCTCCAAAGTTAAAAAGAATTTTGAGCACCGAAATGATGCTCAAAGGAAATGCTCATTCAATCATTTTGGATTTTGTACTTTTAGACTGGGAACAGTAAGTATAATACAAATATTACAAAACTCCAAAAAAAAATTCAAAATCTGAAACACTTCTGGTCCCAAGCATTACAAATAAGGGACACTCAACCTGTAGTAAAACGTTTCTATATATAATTGCAAGTAAGCCACTTTTTAAAAATTGAAGATTTATTTCTAAATGACAAGGGAAACTAATACTTGGGTAAAAAGTTCCATGTGATTTTTACAAAGAAATGTTAAATGTTTTAGAAATCCATATTATATGTCTTCAATTATTTTTGTAAAAATCAAAAGGTCCAATTAAAGTTATACATTGAGAGAAAAAAAAACAAAGTTAGCTGTGTAAAGTTGGTTTTTATAGTGGAACACTTATAAATGCCATCACAATCTATGGCCTTGTGAAGATACAGGTAGTAGTCTGTGAGAGAACTCAGGGCAAGAGGCAGAGATTCATGGGCTCACCTGCATAGGAATGACAGTGGAAACTGGAAAAGTACTCACCCTTTCTCCTAGTACCATCAGTCCAAATTTTCCAAAATTCTTGCTGGGTAAGCATTATAACCTATTTAGTCTATTAAAGATTGGACTGCCTTCTCTTCTGCAAATCAGACAATCTATAGCTTAAAATAATGGCAGATATTTAGGTCACTTTCAAACAGACAGCCAATCCATCTACTCTATATTTTAATTTGATTTTCAGAGAACCCCCAGGGTTTCTTGAAATATTCTCAGAGAAGCAAAATATTACATATACAGTAATCATAATTTCCAAATATACAAATCATAAAACATTTATGCATTTTTGCACAAGATCATAAAATAAGACTACAACAGAAGGCAAATTTTATATTTCAAACTTACTTTGAGTGTGCGTGTGTGTGTGTGTCAACTAAGTTGTTAGGATCACTGACCTTTGACATTAATCAGTTTCGGAAATTAAGAGATAGAAATTATGAAAATCAAAAGATAGGAAAGTATAAAAAGTGAGGTATCTATTAATTCAGAATAAAGAAAGTTATAGAAAACAGAGTATATAACTGAATTTAAAGTACAAGGCTAATTGTAAATGTTTCTAATTTTATCTAACCATCTTTAACCCCAATTCACTTCAATTCATATAAACCTTAAATCCTGAACTAAACCAACATGCTGAAGTTTAGATGGTAGCTTTTGCAAACTTACACCAGCAAACTGATACAAATGTTAGCTACAGTTAATAATTCAGCACAGGTCCTCTACATACAAAATGACATGCAGATTGGTTATACCTAGAAGTGAAAGGTGACTCAATTTTAATATCATTTTCATGATTATAATAATCTATAGGTTTCTTTGATTATGGAAGTATATTTGTGATGCCAAATATAATTTAATTTATTCACAATATCTAAGAGAAAAAATTCATAGGCATACTTTCAAGATTTGGAAGGCCTCAGATCTCTTTCAGGGCCTGCCTGGTGAAAAAGGCCCAAGACCCACTCAAGCACACATAATTCTGAAGGTCTGTCTGCCAGCAATAAAGGCCGAAATTGGATACTTGGTGAGATTAATTACCTAGATAGGGCTTGATAATGCAAGTCAAATGGGAATGTAATTAAAGTGCACCTTCCATGAAAATTATTCATTGCTGATGGATCAGGTGACAGATAAATCAAAAGGCATTTTTTAAAAAGCCTACAGGTTAACTTGAAGCAAGTCTTTCCTCTTTTTAAAACTCTGTAATTGCAGGTGTGGAATTCACTCTTGCTGTCCTATCCTCATCATGATACCATAAGACAAAAAAGTAGATTGTAATGTAATCTATTAGAAATAGAAGCCAATAGAAAAACCATTAGGACCATAGTTACAAACAAAAGGTCACCTAGACTGGAACCAGTTGGCTGGCAGCTTTCAGAAGAGAGTATCACTCTATGCTCATACTATAATGGAGATTGCAACCATAAAAAATGACAAGTGATGAATTAATAAGTTGACTAGTCCCTAGGGTGCAATTCTTACAGATAAAGGCATGCTGGAGTAATCAAATAGAGTTATAAATTAGATAAATAGAATGGCACAAGAAGTATTTTACATTGTCATTATTAAATAAAGTCCTCCTGGATGTGCTGTTAATTCTTTATTGCCAGTACATTTATTTACAGTGTAAGAACAATAAAAAATACTGTTTTATAAGGATGGCAGGGTAATTTCAGTTACCTAGAAGGATACTAAATCTAATTTCTATATTGAGTTATCGTATATATGTTTATTATGCATCTAAGAGAAGAAAGATGAAACAAAATATCCAATTAAATGACAGTTATTAGAAAATATGGCTTTACATGTTATTCATTTGCCTACTCTAACTAATGAACACGTCTTTACTGATATGTGTAAAGAAAACACATATTGTCTGCAAGAACAAACTTCATGCTGAACAAGAAAATCGTGTCATCCAGCAGATGGCATATGGAATTCACAAAAAAATCAATTACTATTAGAAGAAATAATAATAACCTAAGCATAAAAGTTGAACACTTTTTGTTCTTTGGAAAACTTTGAATAATACTGATCTACAACAGTTACTACAAACCCTCAAATAGTCATTTGACTTTTCCAAAACTTTATACTTTTTAATTTAAACTTGAAAAACATCCAAAATTTGAACTCAAATTCCTTCAACAATCTATCTGTCCCAGGATCACATAAAAATACTTCAAATTAAAACATAATCAAATTTTTATAATCACTTACATGCAATTTAAATAATAACTGCAGATGTTTTAACCTAGTTCTAAGAAAGAAATATTTCTAAAATTGTGTTACATAAAAAAATTTACAAAGCAGCTCTTTTTACACAGTGAAAACTTCAGAAATAAAAAAATTCAAAGTCAAACACATGATGTAGATTTTAGATATGTAAATTGGATATACAGGGTTTGTGTTTGAAGTGCTATAAATTTAAGTGTATAAAAATATATCTGTCAGAGAATTATCTGTTTATAGTTCTTCATTCCTAAAGGTTATGAATTAAAATTGAAAACAGGCATAGCAAACACCCAGTGCATTTTATCAGGAGACATTGCTTTTTGCGTTCCCTGCAGGTTCCAGTTAGTAACTTAATCCCAGCCAAACTATAAAGTAAACTGTTCATGATTTGTCAGATTAGCTGATGCTTGTCCAGAAAAATGGTCGAAAAAAGAGTCACCAGGACACTATAATTAAGATCCATTCATCCATTTCATCCTTGGATTGAAGAAAATAATGAAACATCAAAGTAGGCAGGCAGCAGTCTAAAGGAGGTCAGCTGTTGTATTTTCAAACATAACACCAGTGTTTAATGCAGCAAGTGTACCAGAAGTCACTTACAAATTATATTAATATCTGACATTTGTTGAAATAAGATAATGGCTTTCTGTTCTTTGTTTATATAATTTTCAAAGATAAAGGAAATGTGTCTAAAAATAAAAGATTTATCAGTATTAACAAATACTGCACATAGCAAAAATAAAATTTCCAAATTTTTAGGTGGTTATACTTTTTATATTGGCAAGTACATGATATGGGACATATAATTTAAAATCTACTGGAGAAAGAAGAGATATATGTCTATCTATCTATCTATCATCTATCATCTATCTAGCATAACACAGTCTCTGTATTAGATGTGTATAAACAGTCCTTTGATGTTATAGCATTTAATATTAATGATACTATCTTAGATGACAGATAGTTATAAATGCATAGTTTATCTTTGTACAATTAACATCTTTCTTTTTATGACCTTTATTTCTGAGATTATCAGGTTCTCAACAATGAAATTTGTGTGAGGCTATATTTGGGTTCTTGGTGATGTCAGGGATGTGAGAAAATAGGATGAGATGTCAAAACAAGGAGAAAACAAGGTTATGATAATGTATTAGAAAAGAACAAAGGCAGTAATTTTTTCCAAACATAATTCAGACTCATTCTCTGTCTTAAAGTCTTTACCAGTCTGATAAATGTTGTATGAAATCAGCATAAAAAGTAATCTATTACAATTCAATTCAGCCATCATTGAGCTGAATACTCTACTACGTATGCCATAGTGTCAGGCTTTGCTTTTGACCATGGTAAACATCATTATGATAGTTTCTACCTCAAGTTATCAGTAAAAACTGTTTCTCATGGTTCCAAATTTTCAAATCCAGTAGACTTTCTTGTGTCTTCATTCTATTGACCTCCTGTGACACTTGATTCTATGATTAACTTAATGAGAAAATTTCCCTTCCTTTGGTAATTGTGACAGCCCCCTTATTCAACTGGCCTGGCCACCCCTCTTTGGTCTTTGTCATGTGCTTCTGAGATTCTTCCATCCTAACTATTTGTTTTCTCAAAACTTTTTTGTCACACTTTTAAATTATACCTCCACTCCTCTTCCCCGGAGAGGCCACTCATTAACTCACCATCTATAGGCAAAAGATTCCTAAAGCTGTAACATTTAAGCCCTACCACCATTCGAATGCCCATTCTCTTAGGAATATATATGTACTCATAAAATGTATGAGGTTAAAGAACATATGTTTATTACTGTCTATACATGTCTATACACATAAATACATCAGTTCACAGTGTTATAGTCTGACGTAACTAGAGTTAAGGGTGCTGAGTTTAAGAGTATTAGCAGTATTTGAATAATACAATAGTGATATGGCTTAACCAGTTTTGTTTTTATCATCATATACAATTTCCATTATGGATGCTATGCTCAGACAACGTTCTGCATCTTTCTATATGCTGAAGTTAATGACGAAATATTAAAAATTAAGACACTAATTATCTGATGTCAACACGCTATGGATAATTAAGAACTGCATGCTTTAAAGCTATGCTAATTGTTTTTCACAAATCTTCCTCTGTAGTCCTTGTGTCTTAAACAAGGCAAGCAGCTACATGACTGTATGTACATCTCTGCCATGTATTTTGCCACAGAACATACATCATCTGCTCTGCCTTGTCCCTGACTAATTTTGTTAAGGCTGCAGCAATTATCTCTCCCTTTGTGATTGACCTATTTGTAAATTAAGTGCAGAGAATTTGGGTAATTTTTTCCCAGGGTTCTTAATTGATCCTTGTTCATTGCTTACACTAGTACAAAGGGAACCAAAGTCATAAAAACAGTTAAAATTCAAACAAGTAACAATCATGCTTTAGCAGTTGTAACTGACAGATCTGAAAAACAAGATCTTGATAGTGTTCTCTCCTTTACCCTATTACTTGGATCAGTTGGTTAAAACTGTTAATGATTCTTGTGGATCAATGCCTTTTCCTTGTAGCTCTAATTTACTGCATTGGTAGATTAGTACAGATGTTTTTTTGGATGGCTCTGCATCATTCCACCAGATTGCTTGTCTGGATCAAATTTGCTTCAATTCATCACCAACGAAGCAAGGGATAAAATAATCAACATTTACTCCCTCTGAACTCATGTAGTGAAAACAGAACAACAACTAAATGCTTGTCCAAATTTAAAGACAATCTCCTATCTTTCACCTACATTTCATAGCTTTCAAGGCTATGTCCCTTAGCTGATCCAGGGCTGAAAATGGTGTATATGATTGACAGTGGCAGTGCATAGGAATTGGGATTGGGGGAAAACCTAAATATGTACTTAAAATTTATGGGCCCATGTTTTTACTACTGTCGTCATCATTATTACCAATTCATATTATGTGTCTTTGTCTTTACATGAATAATGTATGAAATTACTATCCATTGGCTTTTCATTCTCTGAAATGCAGCTTATTGATTTCTTGCTCTTAAATGAAATTTTTCTGAAACTGCGTCTGTCTCCACAATGCTACCGCTTCAATAACACTTAGAGAAATGGGCACGATAGCTAGCTACATAAAAACTAATTCATGACTCATGGAACAAAACCTGTTTGTACCATAGAACCAAGCAAATCAGGTAACTGGTTTCAGTCAAGGAAGGATTAACCAAAAACACTTCTTTAGTCAATGTATATTGGAAACCTATTACAAATGTGTTAGTTTGTATTCTTGGCAGGGTATTACTAAAATATAACATATTTGTTATTTTTTATGATTTATAATTGTTTACTATCTCCAGAAAAAGAGACTGTATTCAATATATATTTACCTAAGGTTATGCCCTGAAAAACTGTGCATATTTTATTTAAGTTCCTCCTGTTAACTTGCTTTTTGTATTTTTCCCCTAAAAGTAAAGAGCATGTGGTCCAGTTAGTCACATTTTACTTAAAACAGATTTTCTATATATCACTTGAACAAACTTCTTTACTCTAAAGTGGCTATTTATTTGCAAATATTATTTTAGTAGATGAATATTCAGCTTACAAACTTCTTTACTCTAAAGTGGCTATTTATTTGCAAATATTATTTTAGTAGATGAATATTCAGCTTACTTACAATGTCTACTACATAAACTCGCAATTGCAAAATAAACGATCTTCTATTAAGGGCAATGCATGTAATAAGAATTACTTTACATAATTCCATCATTATGGACTATTCCAGGATAATGATCCTAATGGGAAGTCATATTTTTTGAAGAGGATGCTTAAATTTAGCAAATTACAAATTTGTATCTCCAAAATATAGAGCTATAAACACTTTTTCCTAAGAAAATCCTGAAATGGTACTGACTTCTTAATCTTGTAGAAATTATTAGGTTAAAATTGCCAAGAATTTGACAAACTTACCCAAGCTTCAAAACTTGGGAACAAAATTTATTATAACTTTTATATTGGATGTTCTGTTACCATCAATGTATCACCTTCTAAAATTTATTAGATGATTAACTGGCTCTGTTAAAAAATAAAAACCTGTCTTGGACATTGAAAATAAAACATTACTATTGGTCATTTTCTGCTACTTACAAAGGTACTGCACTAAACAAGTTAAGGGTTTTTTGGAGGGGAAAAATCATAAAAATGCATAAAATTTCTACCACTGTCATTTCTTGTCCCATAAATAAAATTTTACATGCCTTAGCTGTCCTCATGCATATGGAAAATAAAGACTTTTCAGGATGGAATTAAATTATCTCAGGGATGAGTATTAGTCTGCATTTGTTGCTATAAGAAAATACCACAGACTGAGGGGCTTAAATTGAAATTTGTTTTCTCACAGTTCTGAGGGCTAGAAGTCCCAAGTCAAGGTCCAACAGATTTCAGTTTCTGCTGAAGCCTCTCTTTCTGGCTTGGGGATGGCCATCTTCTTGCTATGTGCTCACATGGCCTTTCTCAGTGTGTGTGGAGGAAAGTATACAGTTACATTGGGGGTTAGGGCTTCAGCATAGGAATTTTGAGGGGACACAATTCCATCACAGCAGTAGAATAACTGGGTTATTGCAAAAAATGAACTCTTGTTTCCCAAGTATGTAAACATCATTATTTACAAAGTAGCAATTCAAAGATCAAATAATTTAAGAAAAGATAAAGAAGCATTAAATTGGAAATATGAGACGCAACTTAAAACACTCTATACTAGGATTTTTTCAAGAGTCTACTAAGAGCATGTCCATTAAACAGTATGCAGATCAACTTGTCACCATAACCTCAACATAAGCCTATTTCATTACAAATATTAACCATATCAGAAAAGGATAGTTTTGACAACTCAGAAAGATACTGGGACTGGAGATCAGGGAGTTGAGGTGGCAAGATTAGGGTGTGGGGATGAGAACACAGGTTACTTAGAGGTATTTCCTTATGTATGTTTTAATTGAGAAGAGTCATGGCACAGTGATGTGCTGTAGCCTTAAAGCTGTCACCAAACCAAAAAAAATACAAAAATATTAAAACCTAAATATACCAAACTATAAAAAATATTAAAATAATGTATGAAAAGCTGATATTATGTTCCTAGGTACTAAAGAAAGCATCTCCAATCCTGATCTCTGTGCTTCTACATATTCAATGTTATATAAAAGATATAAATTAATTATATTTTCAACAAGCTTTCAAAATATGAAGCATTACGAAAGTTTTCAAAGTTAAGGTTTATTTGTACCTTTAATATTTTATAAGAAGGTTAAGCTTTTGTTTAAAATTCCTGTGTAAATACCACATTATGGCTGTAAACAGTTTAAGATTTTAAATATATTTACAGTTTTAGGACCAAATTGCAAAATGACTATACTTGAAATTATTAACTTATGTACTCATTGCATAATTTAAATAACATTATATCATTTGAATTAAATTAATGTCTTCTGTAACAACCTAGATAGTCTAAGAAATTTTCTTTGCATATTACAGTATACAAAGAATTTATGTACTCAGCCAACAAATATTTACTAACCATCTACCCTGGGCCCAATATGTTGATGGGGCTAGAGAGTATGATCAAAGGTACCGCCATTTTCCCCTAATGAAGCCTAAGAGGAAAGATAAACTTTTCACAACTAATATGTGAAGAATATTACAAATATATGATACACTTAGTATAAGACCATATCACAGAAACATGTAATTTTCTCTTAAACTTACATGATAAATTCGGAATGTGAAGATACTGTGCAAACATATGGGCCTTTACGTGTAAAGGAATCAACATGTTTTATACTAAGCACTACATAAATCCTGGTTATTAGTATTAATGTCAACATGGTAGTATGTTACCTAATTAAAATTTTATTAAAATAGTTATCTAAAATATCATCCTTTTTGTATGTTTTAATAACTTACAGCCACTAAATAAAAATGTAAATGTATCTATATATATATGTTTTCATATTTATGGTGTCACAAAAATACTTAAATAAATTTCACTAACAGTCTAAAGTTACTCCTTGTTTAAGCAAAGCATATGAATTACTAAAATGTCATGCCCTGCAGGGCATGAATTAGAATGACTAAATCCTGCACTTTCGGATACCTCAGGTTTATAAAATGTCTAAATGTAACAGAAATGCATATTTTGAACAGTTTACTGTTAAAGGAAATTTATTCGATTGATTCTCTGCTGCAGACGGCATAGGTGTACATATGAATGTATGTTTTAATAACAATAACACTATCTCTACAAAATGGTTCCTGTTTTTTGCATTTATATATTTTTAACCTAGTGATAAAACAATTATGCCTTGTTTCACCCTGTGGAGAATGCTGTGTTTAATATTACTTTATATAACCAATAAATGTTCTAAAATAAGAAAATATATTTTCTCAATATCATGTTCCTTTAAAATATAAATCAATCTTATATATTCCTAACAAGTATAAAAATATACAAATTTAAATGGAATTAATTTACTTATTAAAAGACATATAACTTGATGTGTGTCCATTAAATCATTGAAAAGAGACGATCTACGTTAATTTATGAGAAAACAGTCACAGTTGAGTCACATTAATTCATGTGAGTGAAGCTACTTCTGACAAATAAAGAAAATGATTGTTGGTTTTGTCTTTTTTGGGGATAATTTTGCTTATGTATAATGTTATATCACATGACTCAGGTTATATTTCATCTGGTACATTATATAAACATTACAAATCAAAGTAAAGGGAATACTGACGCAAACCTTTATTTTGGCTGAGAAATTAGATCTGGGCATTGAAAAACACAGGAAAGTCGGTCAGTTTAAAATATGCAAGGCTATTTTTAAAGTTTCTTGAAGAAAGATAATAAAACAGTAATGAGAAGGCAAATGCTATATTTAGCAATGCTATCCCACAAAGATTACATTTGTTAATATTCTCAGGAAATAACACTTCTTAGTAGGTCTCCTTTTCACTTAACAGCTCTTATCACTGACCATTAAACCAATCTGCAATTTCTCGTGTAATGGATTATGGAGCTACATTTTTAAAGATAGCACTCTATGGTAAGATTGCATAAACAATAATTTTGAGGTAAGAAGTGTATTTGATTGCAATCATTTGGGTCATCACTATATAATTTACCGTGTGACCTTTGTAAAGTCATTCGAACCCTCAAAATTTTACTTTTAAAATGATATCAGTTCTTGTCTTAACAACTCCACAAATTTAGTTCAAATTTTAATATAATCTGAGTGAGTGTCATATAGATCATTCATCCATACACAACAAAATTGATGATGGGGATAAAACATAATTCTTTTTGAGAGACTCTAAAGAGACCTTTGAAGATAGTTGAGATGTCTCCACACCCTGATGGCAGATTCTTTGAAGCTTTCTTATATTTTCAGAAACTGTATGTTTTGCACATTTTTTCCACAGTAACACTAGGCAGGAATTTTTTTTTTTAACAAACGACTATATGTAATATGTGAAATGTACTGCGGAAGATACACAAAAGTTTAAGTTAAACCAGGGTCAATCTGTTACTTTCCTGTTCAAAAACACTCCGGTTTCCCCGCTGTCTATCAGAAAAGATTCTTTTCCTAAAAATAAAAATTCCCCAGTAATCTTTCCCACAAATCTTTATTCATCCAGTTCATACCATTATTCCATAATCACACTCTGAATGCTGCCACTCTTATTCTTTTGCATAATTTAACCCTCTATAATGGATATTGTAATGGGCTGCCCACATTCTCCTTAGAAAAGCACTGAAGAAATTATTTGCCCAGCTGCCGAGATATTTGCCAGAAAACAGGCCTCAGTTCCCTGCCTCATTTAGAATTTCCTTTCTGAAAAGTAACACCTTGCTCACTCCTAGGAAAAACTGCAACCCATGTCTGGACAACATAGACGTATAAAACTGTCACCTAGGGACAACCTGAGGGTTCATTACAGGTAGAGCACTCCCCATGGAGTTGGCTGATGATTCCAATGAGACCCCATCACAGCTCAGCCCTGCTCTGCTTGGTCCTGCTTGCTTCCCTTCTCTCTGATGGTGTTGATCCCAAACATTCTTCCTAATAAAACTCATGCACGCTAATCTCCATATAAGTATTTGCTTCCTGGGGAGCCCAACTTGAGAAACTATCCCTAACCTCTTTCAAGAGGTTTCAGTTTTCATCCTAATTCCTTCCAGATGCTTTCCAGAGCGTTAAAATAGTTATCACTCTCATTAAGAACTGTAGTATATGTACAGTATCACTCACCTATTAATAGTGTACAGTGAATAGTGTAGCATAGTGATACGTTTGTACTCTATACTGAGTTACTACTTTATTTATTTAGTTATAAATATATGTGGAGGTCTGAGAGGTCTTATGTCCCAAATCTCTCCGTTGCCTATGGGGAAAATATGAGGCCAAAAAAGGTGACTCAACTTTGACACTCTTTTCATGCACATTTTACATTTCAAAAAGTACCAGGAACATAGTAAGTGTTCAATAAATAGTAATATTTTAATTACTGCTCTTATAATTGTTTCAGGACAGTAACACACCTTTTTATTCTAATAAATGTACCTGGAATTAAGCTATTTGCTCAATTTTTACAATATGACGAGTCAAATAGTGTACCACTTGAGGAGAAAATTCTAGTATAAAGAGGTGAAGTAACTTGTCTAAAATCATGTAATTATGTCATCTAATATCAAATAATAAGTCTTTTCTATTAATGCCTTAATGGTTTCACTCTTGTATAATGATTTAATTTTTCTGGTTTTCCCATTGGCCTAATTCCACAACATTTTTTGTACAGCTAGTATGCAGAAAAGACTGTATTTGATGGTGGTGACACAGATAAACATGACACAGTTCCTGATTTGAAGGATAATTGCTAAGTCATTTATTTCCCTTTGAGGAGAGACCACATATTACAATTGCTTAAATAATCCCAGAGTGAATGAAGTATTAAAGAAAGAAACAGCATTTTTTGAGTGATCTGTTTTTATTAACGTTCATACTTCTGCATACTACTTCTGTGCTACGATACTTAGTCTCAGGAAGGAAGGTAGTGGCAATTACCATGTTCTGATTACAGAAAAGGGGTAGTATTCTTCAGGGCCTAGAATAGGATTTACTTTTATACTCTTACATCTAGCAAAATCACATCCATTCTGAAACTCTAGACTGACTAACATCTTTTATGGAAGGGCTTTCATTTGTTCTCTGAATGAATCATTCTTCAGAGTTTTGTATTTTGTTCCCAATGTTGTTCTACAACATTATAATAAAGTGTTCTATTGTTAGATACTTAAGAAGAGAACCATTCTTTACCTTCCTATCCTTAGCATCCCCCATAGTGCTTGACATGCACTAGGTACTTAGTGTAGTTGGACAAACTAATATTAAAAAGCAGCACTTAAATAGTGCTTAAGAATGGAAAACTATGGAATACTACACAGCCACAAAAAAGAACAAGATCGTGTCCTTTGCAGTGACATGGATGAAGTGGGTGGGCATTATCCTTAGCAAACTAACACAGGAAGAGAAAACCAAATACCACATGTTCTTACTTATAAGTGGGAGCTAAATGATGAGAACACAGGGACACACAGAAGGGAACAACACACACTGGGGCCTACTGTGGGGTGGAGGGTGGCCAGAGGGAGAGGATTAGCAAAAATAACAAATGGGCAGTAGGCTTAATACCTGGGTGATGAAATAATCTATACAACTAATTCCCATGACACAAGTTTGCCTATGTAACAAACCTGCACATGTACCACTGAACTTAACATAAAAGGTTAAAAAAGGCATTTTTTAAAGAGAACTTTTAAATATAAGGAAGAATAAGGGTCATAATGTCATAAATTAAATACATATGTTTTCCCCCTACTTCTATATTTTAAAAAATATCTCCGTTGTACGTAACTTGATCTTTGTGACTTCAGCCTTAATAGGTCAATATAATTACTAACAAAACAACAAGAACAAAAATGTATGGTTCAGCCAGCTTGTGTATGGCATGTTCATGATAAGTAAATATTAAAAGTATATAAATATGAATATTAAAATATGCTTTTCAATACAAATCTATCTTAAAGCTAAGATTTACATAAGAACCTCTATCATAAGATAATTGATAACTAGATAAGTCATATTTTTTACAGGCCAAACAAAATTAATTTCTCCCTCTTCCAATGTTATAATACGTTAACTGCCAATTCTGCACTCACATTATTTTCCCTCATGCTTCTGCAGATAAAGAAATTGGTCCATTTTGCCTTGACAGGTTCCCAAAGAGTTACATAAAAAGAGGACTAATTGGCATTCATTTTGCTATTCACTGCATTAGCATTTTTATGGCAATGTATGAGTTTAGTTTCCTCTAACATCATCTCACTTAACATGATAATACAGGAAGGTAGATATTATTTTATCCCCATTTTTTTTTTCATGAGGAGTTTAGTGATCAACCCAAAATGTATATACCTCATAGTGGTAGACTAGAAACTAGAACTCAGGGCCCTTGATACCAATGGCCCTATTCTTCCTGTGAGCAAAGGATATTCAATACACTTCTACTCACACAAATACTGGTAAAGGGTCTTGTGCTCCAAACTCAAAACTTAACAGAAAAGGAACTACAAAGTACACACACTACCTTTCAAGCACTGGCTGATTATTTGTTATCCTGACTCTCTAAGCTTTCCCAGAAACATGAAATTCTCTTAATAAACCCTTTTATGCTAGGCATCAGTGGATTGCTGAGGAGGAAGATAACCAACCAGAAATATAGACTTAAATTCATTGTTGAAGTGATTTCAGCATGAACTAGGTTGGAAATGATGCTATTTGTTTAATGGAGAATGATAATTTCAAGGGTTTTACAGGGTTCCTTGGATAGTTTTGAACTCGGACAAAGTCTCAAATCACCCCCCTTTAGGAAGAGCAAAAATATGGTAATGGAGGGAACTGAGTATACTCACACAAAAGAACAATAATCACTAACACATTCCAAATTTTCTCTGTTAGAAAAAGTTAACTGTAAATTCATGAGTTTTAGCATTTGAGATGTAGTCAGACTAGGCAATCATGAATTAGTATTTTAATACAAAACTGCAAACCTAGTTTTTTAACCTTTATTTATGTTTATGTTATTTAATAAATGTATAGGTATTCTTTTTATCATTTTTTCTTTTCATCGAGGTATAATTTAAATAGCATAAAATGTACTCATTTTAATATACGATTAAGTATTTTTAGTATATTTACAGGATTGTTGTACAATCATCACAATATATTTATTGTACATTTAAATCAACCTCCCCCACAAATAAAGCAAAAAAAAAAAAAAAACCCTCCAGCCAACCTAGTTTGTTCTTAACCAGAAGGGAGTCAACATCCAAAGCCATTTTACATAACAACTGCGAAATATTTGATTCCAGAAACTTACAGAAATTTGATAATATATTTAGCCTGTATAGTATTAACTTGAGAAATCAAACAATAGACATTTTAGGAACATGAAAAGACATCCCCAAAGTGGCCAATTTGACAAACACTATTTCTGGTATCAGTTCAGCATCTCCTGGTTATATTCAAAAATAAAAATGTCACTTCTTGATATTAGCAGGAATAAAAGAATGTCATTCTAACTTAGTAGAACCAAGTTTATATTAATGCTTCCAAAAGATAGCTCTTATGTCAAAATCATAAACCTAAAAACGTTTCAAATCCACTCACTGCAAAGTTATGACAACAAATTTATATATAAAACAACGCAAGTGGAACTATCTTATGACAACAGCATTTTAAAATAAATAGGATAAATATGTCTAATAAAAGAGGTAAGTCCAAAGTAAAATAGGTAAGTCCAGGTAATTAGCTAAATCACTTATTTTTTGTCTAATTATTAAAGATTTACATTTCTATGTTTTACCTCCCGATATCTGCTCTTATAAATAGGAGATCTGATTCAAACAGCCTTTGAAATAAGCATCAGAATGAAACCTTTAGAATAAAAACCCACTAATTTGTTAAAAAATGGTAAGTCTGAGATCATATACATAGTTTTCATTATGTAGATATAATCTAAATAGGTAACAGTTGGTTAAAATTAGCATGGAAATGAAGAATAGATTAGTCTGTGTCCAGGAATTTGGGATAACACTGGTTGCTTTTAGACAGCCAGCCAAAGACCAAGAGGACCTTGTTATTAGCTTGTTACATTGTTCACACAACACACTACTCTAGTAAAGGCCCGATTTTAATATTGTTGATAACGTAGCACTTTGTTGCATTTACTACATAGCATCTATCTTCAGCAATAAGAATTTTTGAAAAGACTGAGAAAGCCCCTAATTTCTGAGATTTCCTTCAGCAGTAAGATTTTTCTGAAGGTTTAGAAAGTCTCCAATTCGTATTTTCCAAAACATAACTAACCACAACAAAGAATAAGTTAAGGAGGGCATTTCAAGTGCCAGTAAGAAAATAAGTGTAAACTACCTTTAGGCTAAGCTACAAGTGCACTATTATCATGGTTATGCCATTTCTTCTGAAATCCTCATGAAATCTGCCATTTATTCGAATATAAAAATGCAAATTAATATGATCACAAATCTACTGATGAACTTAAAATTCCCTCATGCATATTAAAATGCAGACTCGTCATGTATTACAAAGATCATAGTCTATGTAGTAAAAAATTGGGTAACATTATGTGAGACAATGAAGCCAACTCTTTCATTATTCCTAATTATCATGTAGTTTATGATCATGAGCATAACAAACAAAAAGGTAAAAGTGTGAATACATCCTTTACTTCATTTTGACCACTATTTTCACTCCCCTCCTCTAGATCTTTCAGTGGAGTTATTTGTTTTATAGCAGTCTTAAGGGTTTACAATTTTATCTCCTGTTTTTTTTTTTCCAGAGACAAGAGTCTTAGTCTGTCACCCATGCTGGAGTGCAGTGGCACGATCTCGGCTCACTGCAACTTCTGCCTCCCAGGTTCAAGTGATTCTCCTGCCTCAGCCTCTCAAGTAACTGGGACTACAGGTGTGCACCACCATGCCCGGCTAATTCTTGTATTTTTAGTAGAGATGGGGTTTCTTGTTGCCCAGGCTGGTCTTGAACTGCTGACCTTGTGATCTGCCCGCCTCGGCCTCCCAAAATGCTGGGATTACAGGTGTGAGCCACCGCGCCTGGCCAATTTTATCTCCTTTTATTTCTCCTGCCAGATCTCTGAAGATGTTAATGAGTACACTAATGGTGTAACAAGCAACAGGAAAAGTTAAAGCTGTAAATAATCAACAAGCTGGAAGAATCAAGCTCTGTGCAGAGAAACTAACTAAATGTTCAAGTAAGACACCTCACTTAGGTAGTCACATTATTTCATTCAGTGA
Organism: Homo sapiens; assembly: GCF_000001405.40. NCBI lineage: Eukaryota > Metazoa > Chordata > Mammalia > Primates > Hominidae > Homo > Homo sapiens. The sequence goes on from NC_000006.12 coordinate 93,356,698, forward strand.
AGATAAACACAAAACATACCTGCTTGACCAGTGGTGATACTGACAGCAGCAAAGAGCCTCTGGGATCGGCTTAAGTCAGAAACTCCATTTACAGCTTCAACTTCAAAAGTATAATTAGCGTGGGCTAGCAGGTCCATGACAGTGACATAGTTATCCTCTAATCCAGTCTGCTGGGGCATGTATCCAATGTTACTCCCACAGGGAACACATTCGCCCTGCTCCCAACTGCACCGCTTACACAATATTCTGTAGGTCACATCGTTTCTTCCCCCATTGTCTGCAGGAGGACTCCATTCCAAACTTACTGTGGTTTGGTTGATGTTGAAAATGAGGTTCTGTGGTGCAGATGGAGGCCCTTGGGAAACCAAGAATAAATAAGTAAATAAGCAAAAATAGAAAAAAAAACATACAAACAAAAAGAACAAAAGGATCTGTGTGGGGCATTAAGCTAGTGGCTCAATTACCAAAGAGAAAACGAGTTGAAATGCTTTCTTTCACATAAACATTTCATTACCTTTACTAGAGAAGCTGTATAAAAGCCTCCTTGAATTCACTTGGCAAGAGGCTTTATTTATTTTCCTTTTAATACGTCAAAATGAAAACAGGATAACAACTGTCTTTGTACTTTTGCCACAGTCTTTAACTATTTTTCTTCCAAGCAATTAAAACAGTACAGTTAATGCACCTAAAAAAAACAGCTGTGCAGTAGTTTAAAAATAGTTCTCCTTTTAACCACATAACAGGGAATACATTTATTCATTTTAATGTACTCAAGAATGATTTATAGCAATGCCTGAGATTGGCTTTGGATTTGGATCTCTCAAACATTCATTAATTGAAGAACCAAGATGTGAGATTTGCTCTATTTAGTGAGGTCTGCTCTATTTAGTAATGGAATTTTAATTCAGAAACCATTACTTTTTAATAACATTTAATATCCATGCAAGACCCTAATAACTTTTTTTTTTTTTTTGAGACGAGGTTTCATTCTTATTGTCCAAGCTGGAGTGTAGTGGCACAATCTCGGCTCACTGCAACCTCCGCCTCCCAGGTTCAAGTGATTCTCCTGCTTCAGTCTTCCGCGTAGCTGGGATTACAGGTGGGCGCCACCACTCCCAGCTAATTTTTGTATTTTTGGTAGAGACGGGGTTTCACCATGTTGGCCAGGCTAGTCTCGAACTCCTGACCTCAGGTGATTATGATCCACCCGCCTTGGCCTCCCAAAGTGCTGGGATTACAGGCATGAGCCACCCTGCCTGACTGACCCTAATAACTTTTAATTTTACTTATGATTCTTATGAGATACATGTGAAAAATATTAAAATGCATCTTAATTTTGCAGACACGGAAATAACACCAAAGTTGATGTAAGATATATTTATATTACTAAACCTATCTGCTTATGAAAGAAAATTTTATCTTAATATTTTAAAATAATTTTAATATTTAAGTATAATTAAGAATGTATCACAAATTCAATATCTATTTCATTGATGTCACAACAGTACAAATGAGTGGAAGGGATTGGAAAGTCCTTTACTTTCATAATACAACTCACTTGTGCACGCAACGTATGGTGGGTCAGATGGAGCCCTGTAATACCCATCTTCACATTCACATCTGGAGGAGCCTTCTTTATCAGAAAAACTGTGAGTTGGACAACGAGAGCACTGAAGATCTTGAGAGGAAGACTTGTAGAACCCACGGCCACAGGCTGGGAATGCAAAAGAAAGCAAAAATTGAGACATGAGAGCAAATCGATCTTTAAAAAAAAATTGTATTATTTAGCAAGGAATCAAATATTAAATGTGATGTATGTAAAACAAGCTCTTGATGATAAAATATTCATTTTAGGGTATTTCACTAGCCAAATGTTATGATAGTTCATCTTAAAACAAAATAATACAAACAAAATGATACAGCAAACTTGCACCTGCAGTTGGCACCAGGCCAAAGTCTGGAGCAGAAAACTGAATACAGGCATAATTTATTTAGCCAAAACCTTAGAACATTTAATTCCGATATATAATTCAAATTTAACTTGGATTTCAACATAATTAACTGTTTGTTGGTCTGCATTAGAACACTTCAAGTTATGTTTTCTTAATATAATATAGCTTTAAACTAACTTTTGACATGTTGATTTGGTTCATGTTGAAAAACATTAATGTAACTTTAATTACCAGACTAGAAATAAATAACTATGTAAAATTTTTCACCTGAAAATGATAGAAATATATTTTCCCAAATTTTCAGGAAACTCCAAGATAGAATTTCAACCAATTTAAGTTATAAGGCAGGCTGGTTTCCACTAAGTGAACTTCTTTGTTACTAAAAATAATGAAATCCTATGAATAGGAGATGGCTGCACCACCAGAAACAAGGGGAAAGCCATCAACGGCAAGTAGATTATGGCCCTGTTTGTCCTCTGCCGAGAGAGGGTTAGGGTGCAATCACACTAACACAGCAACTTTTCTCAGCAACGAACAGAGATGGACAGCGAGCATTTCTGCCACCTCCTAATGAAGTTGCTCTTATTCATTTAGATTCTATAATTAAATCCAGTAACAGTGTACCATTTAATATCACTGGACATTTCATATATTTATATTTATTTTCAATGAAAATTTAGCAAGTTATTTTTACATTATTTCAATAATTTTTATTAATATAATATATTATATATTGAAGACATTCAATCTATTCTTCATATTTATTAAATAAACATCTACTTAAATTTCAGTAACCTTCATATTTAGCTAAAAGAAAATCATATCTGTAAAGAAAAGTTAGTGAAAATTTAACATAAATAAAAATTTAGCATTTAATTTATTGGCTGAAAGTTCATTTAATATTCTCCACTTGGGTATTATGCAAAAAATTAACCACATTTTTCACTCTGCGGGGCATGGAAAGCAAGAACAATCCTAAAGTACTGAGATGTCATAGTTTCCAGAAAACAGTTGAGTCATCCCTTAACTTCTGTTCAAATGCTGAATTTTAATGCACAATTTTGATATATTTGGGAGCTCAAAATAATTTAGGGGGCATCAAGAAAGTAGATTTACATTAACAAGATAGGTATTTTATATAATTTAAAGACTCAATTTAAAGGTATGTTATGTTGTGAATATAGATCCATCGATCAATAGATGATAGAGAGAGAGAGAGAGAGAGAGATAGATAGATAGATAGATAGATAGATAGATAGATAGATAGATAGAGATAGACAGATAGATTTATACAGGGCTACAACCATCTCATTGTAAATTTATGACCCACTACTGCCCTCAGAAGCCAGTTGGCTATGTTGTCTTTAGTTGGCTTCTCAATTAATACAAGAGGAAAGCAGTTACAAAAACATTAAGCAAAGATGCATAATGCATCTTCACTTGTTTTCAATAGCAATTATTGCAAATATAAGGCATAGAGAGAACAATGATATTGATTACTAAACATAACAAAAATATACAACCTTAAAATGTTTCTAAATATATGATCTTGTCACATTAAAAAATATGGTTAACAGAAAGGATAAAGGGTTTAGCTTAGATTTCTCGGGATGGAAATTCTTCTTTTTTAAAATATTCATTGTATCTTGCTTTATGTATTATTTGTAATTCAAAGATCAGAGACAACATTCCATAAAACAGAGAAAGCAATGCTTTACTCACAACTCGCTGTCTGAGACATTAAGGCCTGGACAAGTAAAACAAACAACCAAAGTAGACATACAGACAAATAAGAGGTGTGTGCTGACAAGTTTT